>NC_000020.11:7642092-7793607 GCF_000001405.40 Homo sapiens
CTCTCCTTTTTTGTTTCTTAGTTTCTTCGGTTGGATGCTGAGTTATTGAGTATTTCATTTTTGTTCTTTCTGGTTTAGTGAGCTAAATTTGTACAGAACTAGGTTATCTTTTTTTTTTTTTTTTGACAGAGTCGTGCTCTGTTGCCCAGGCTGGAGTGCAGTGGCACAATCTCGGCTTGCTGCAAACTCCACCTCCCAGGTTCGAGTGATCCTCCCACAGTCCCCCTAATAGCTGAGATTACAGGCATGTGCCACCATGTCCGGCTAATTTTTGTATTTTTAGTAGGGACGGGGTTTCGCCATGTTGGCCAGGCTGGTCTCAAACCCCTGACCTCAGGTGATTTACCTGTCTCGACCTCCCAAAGTACTAGACAATCTTTAGGAATTAAGACTAATAGTTTTCCTCTGAAGACTGCTTTAACCATACCCCTTTCGTTTTGATGCATAGATTTTTCCAACCCTTATTTTTCTAAATGTGTTGTAGCTTAATTTCTGATATTAATTTTGACCCAAAAGTTAAGGAGAAAATTTCCTTAACATTTTTCTGGTAAGGTTGTTTTCTCTTTATTTAAATAAATTTCTAGATTTATTACATTAAGAGCACAGAATGTCACTGAGAATCGTTGTGACCTAATACAAGGTAGAATTTTGTAAATAATTTATGGACACATGAAAAGAAGGTGTCTTTTTGATTTTCTGGCTATATAATTGCATATACTTCATTGAACTTGTTATTAATATCCTTATATCTTAAATATCTGTACTATTTTTGCACAGTTGATATGTTTTGCTCTGAAGGAGGTAGGTAAAAATCTCAGCCAGTATTTTCTAAAAATGTATTTTCCTTTTTTGAGTGTTAGTTTCTCCTTCAGATTTTTTGGGCTATGTGATTTGGCTAAAAAAAATTCATGGCATATATTCATTGTAATTTATGCCACTTTCATTTTTGAATGGCTATCCTTGTCACATGAATTCAACCTTGTTGGATACTATTACTCTTGCTTTTCTTTTTCTTTGTCCTTTTCTACTGTGTCTTTGTCCATCATTTTACTATTAATTTATCTGTCACACTATTTTAAATGCCTTTTATTTAAAGTGCTTTGATACAGTTCTGATTTTTTAATGTAATCTGAGAATAGTTTTCTTTTTACAAGTATGTTTATTTTATATATATTCATTGCTAAGTTAAATGTATTTTCTTAGGTTCACCATCATATTTTATGCTTTCTGTTTTTAATGCTTCATTTGCGTTTTTAATTTTTGCTATGATTTGTGCATTTTTTTGTTCTGTGGTCTGAATGTTTGTTTTCTGATAGTTTAGAAGGTTCATGATCTTCAGTTTTCTGCTTCTTATTTTCATCGTTTCAGTGAACATAGCAAGACAGAGATGTTTTTGTTCTGCCATATATATTTAAACTGTCCATTGATTTAAAGCATTGATACTTTCTTATCTCTGTCTTATGTGCTACTTTAGAGTCTTTAAACTAAATATTTTGAAGGTTGGGGGCTTTGTTGGAGCTAACAGAATGTCACCAAAAGAGCGGAGGATGACCCAAGATCACTAAACTACTCAGCCTCCACTTCACACAGAGCATCTCCACTTTCATTTATTTTGTATATTTGTTCATGAAAGATTCCAGTTAATAAAGGGCATGTGACTGAAATAAGTTTTCAAATCACTGATGTAGATATCTAAAGCTGGTATTTTCTATTCAAAAGTGAACAAATGCAGTATCACTAAATATAACTCTGTCTTCCCATTTTCTACCGTAAGCAGTAACTTTCTGATCACTTTTAGGCTGGTGCAAAAGTAATCGCGGTTTTTGTTCTTATTTATGGGAAATAATAAATTAAGTCACTCCTGGTTTTTAAAGCTCAACAAATTATATTATCTCTGAGTGATTCAAGTTATATTTACCAAGTATGGTTCACTTAGAAGAAAGTCAGTTACTTAAGAGAAGGAAGAGAACAGCATCGACTACTGTAAATTGAGTCTATCTTTTGCCCAGGTATTTTCCATGTTTCATACAGGCTGATGATTCTAATAAATTGTCCTTTTCTCAAGAAAACAGCTATAATTTATCTATGATTAATACAAATACCAATGTCCAGGTTTACTCATTCATTCATTCAAAGTTACTGAATACCTACTATATGCCAGTCACAGGAGAAGTGGAAACAAATAAGTGAACAAAAACAAGATGCCTCCTGTCATCAAGATTATTTGCTCGTCTTCTAGTGGGAGAAACAATAATTGATGATGAAGATTTGTAGGTCATTTTTGGAAGGTAAAAATTTGGGAGCTCTGTATTTCCTGCACCTAGCCCAGTATCTGGCAAATGATAAGCACTAAATAGATATATGTTGAAAGAACATAGGTTGGGGAAGATGGAGAAAGGGAAGCTTTGAGTTGAGAGTCACAAATTATTTCCTCGAAAGTCAGGTAAGATTCCATGAAAATTTAAAGAATCCATGTAAAAAGGACACCAAACGAATGACGAAGCACACATTTAATAGAAGGTTGAAGTAGTGACTTGTCAAGAACCATGACAAATCCAGAAAGGAGTCGGATGACAGTCCTCAAATTCCAGATCAAGATAACATGGCAGAGAGTGGGAATGTGTTGACAGTCTTTGAGCAGGTACACAGTATGATTGAAGCTATACTATAGGAATATTATTGTGCCAGTAGCATTTGCTGATCAGATGTTAAGTTTCCCAAAACCGCATGGGGGAAATCATAGCTATATTGTCAGCAATTCTAAAGCATAATCAGTGCTGCAACTTCCCTTCCTTTACATAAGACTCAATATGAAAAATTGCTCATGGAAATGAGTATCGCCCATCTTGTTTTAAGTGTTTGTAAATGGCATGATTAATAATAGAAAATGTTGACATTAAAAGAGGGACAATAAAAGATAAATACATGTACATGAATGATTAATCAAGTCAATTTCATAAGTTAAAAAAGATTATATAAGAAGCAGATTTGGAACTGACTTCTCCACGTTCCCAATCAGTGGTATCTCTTGAGAAATTAATTTCTTAGTGACATTCCACTTCTATTTTGTTTTTTTCTCCAGTAGTCTCCCTTCCCCCTAACCCTCGCCTCAGAGATAAAGTTGTCTGGGTTTCCTACTCATTTGATGACAATATTCTCCTTAAATTTATGTATTACACATTTATTCCTTTCCTGGTCTGTGAAATCCTTAAGAGCAGCAGCTTTGTCATTTTATTCTTGTCTCAACAGTGGCATGGATGGTCTGTAGTAGGTAGTAAAGGCGGTAAAATTACATTTTTCATGTAAAAATCTTAAACACTGATTCATTATCATTAGAGCAGAAGCTTCACCACTAGCAATCTTTTTTCTGATTAAGCTTTCTTTGCCTAGTAGTTCATTACAGGAACATTAGCCTAGCAAATTGACAATTCTTACCTCTCTATTTTTTTAATATAGTTGGCCATGTCAGGGCATGTTTCTTAATTTCCAAGGGCTACCGTAACAAATTACTACAAACTCAGTGGCTTAAAATTCAATAGAAATTTATTTTCTCACAATTCTGGGGGCCAAAAGTCCAAAATCAGGGTGTCAAGAGAGTTGTGTTCCCTCCAGAGGCTTCAGGGAGGATTCTGTTTCTCACCTCCTCTGGCTGCTTCACTCCAATCTCTATTCATGCGGTCACATTGCCTTCTCCTATTATTTCTTCTCAGGAGAACTGTCACTGGATTTGGGATGATCTCATCTCAAGATCGTTAACTTAATTACATTTGCAAAGACTATTTTTTCAAAATAAGGTAACATTCACAGATTCCAGATTTTGACATGGACATGTATTTTGGGAGTCACCATTCAACCTACTACAATGTCCCTCTGAAGTTTCTGGTCAATTTTTCATTAATCTTTTTCACAGCAAGTAGGAATTGCTGATTCTAAATCCACTTTGCCCAATTTAGTTGTAGTCAAGCCTCAGACCCCTAAATGTGAGGAAAAGTTAATTTTAATTTGTGTCACAGACACCAGAAAACCTATTGAGAACATATGTAAACATATTTACTTATGAAAAAGAATTCTCCACTTGAGTTTTCTCTTTTTACAAGTCAGACTCCTACTGAGAAAAGAGTGATGCTTACTTTTCAAATATTTCTGGCACTGAAATAAGTGAACCAGCTCCCCTCTTTTGTCCATGTTTCTCTTTGCAGACTTTCTTGATTTAAATTATACATTAGTTATGTGACTTTGAGGGTAAGCTTAGGGCTAGGGGTTAGGCATATGAGCGGTGTTAAGGCCAGGACTAGGATTAGGACTATAATTAAGGGTTAAGGGTATGTTTAGAACTAGGATAGGATTACTGTTAGGGTTAAAGTTAGGTTAGAACTGAAACTAGAGCTACGTTTAGGGTTAGAACCAGAGCTAGGCTAGGTTTAGGGTTAAGTTTAGAGTTAAGCTAGGATCTGGGTTAAATTGGGGATGAGATCTGGCATTAGATGAGGGTGAGATTTAAACCTAATGTTACGATTTGAGCTTAGGTTATATTAGGAACAGTGTCAAGACTAGGGTAAAGGTAAGGTGAGAGTTAGAGTGTGATCTTGACCAAATCACATTCTCTGAAATAGTTTCCTCTTCTCTAAAATGATGACAATGCCACAAGATCTTTGGGGTGTTGCTTCTCCAGCCAGAAACCTCTGTGGCTGGTTTCACCTTTGCCTGAGTTTTGGTTGGAATTGCTGGGCTCATTCCACCAACTTGGCCTGGCAGGCTGAACTCAGCTCATACTACCAGCCCCGATTCCACACCTGCCAAGAATGAGCCAGGCATGGAGCAGTGAGGGGTGTGTGAGTGAGCAAGCATGGGGTCCAGCCACTGCGCAAAGCCAGGCTTGCCAGCTGCAGTGGTGTGGGCAGCTCCAGGTGCTGGCATGGGTGCTGGCTCCCTGAGAGGCTATGGCTGGACCAGGCATACTGCTAGCATCTTCCACTGTGGGCATTGGGAAACATGGTGGTGCCCAGAAGCTTGGAAACATAAGGAACCACAGGGCCCCAAAGAGGGTGTCACAGCCCTAGCTCAGGAAGCTTCTAGGTCTGAGCTCCTCAAAGGGCAACAGCTCTTCACTCCTTCTCTCTTATCTTCATCTCATTACCCACGATGTGGCAAGGAAGGGGGCATGTTTCAGCCCCGTTTGTGTTACAGCTCTTTCAGTTCCACCACTCAGTGGGTCTGCATCCAGGAAGAATGAGGTACCTGGACAACATGAGGGTGATCAAAGGAAAGAAGTGCTTTATTGAGCAACAGCACAGCTCTCACGAAACTGGAAGCGGGTAGCTCCTTTCCACAGGCAGGTTGTCCAGACATCTGCTGGAGTCTGGCTGAGTCCAAGGTTTTTATGGGCTTCAGAGAGGAGGAGGTGTGTGCTGATTGGTCCAGGGGTGACCATGGGTGGGCCTGGAAAGAGCACCAGAAATTCTCACTCCATCAGCAGAACTGCAGCCTGACCCCTAGGCTTCAGGCCATCCTGGGCCTGAAGGTGGGTCTTTCCTGGGGACCCACCCCTTTCTGCTCAGGGGCCTCTCTGCCTCCTGCTGCCATCAACCTACAGTCCACAGCACCCAGGTGCCTGTAGGCCCATGCCAAGCTGCCCTTACCCCCCTGCTCAGCTTCCCTTCCATGCTCATTGGTGCCCAAAGTTCAGAGGGGGCCAAGGTGGCAGGGGGCTGGCATGTCAGAGCTGCCCCAAGCATGCATACACACAGCCGAGGTGCAACAACACCCAGGTTCAGTTTCAACTTTGCTTCATAATTGGAAGAGGCATTAGGAGCGGCAAGAGGCCAGGCAGGGGAGCAGGCACTTCCAAGCTGGCAGGGAAGGGGGGCTTCCGGACCCCCGAGAGTGCAAAGATTCCTGGATGTGCAGCTGCAACTGAGTGGCTGCAGCTGCGCCTAGAAGGGTGAGGCTCCTGCCTGATCCCAGCTCCTGCTGGCTCCATGGGGTGCACAGCCCTGGTCATGCCTTCCCCACTGCAAGTGGCGTCATGGCAGTGGCTGCTCCAGATAGGCCATCACTGACATCAATGACATTCACCTTATAGTGCTCTTATGTGGAGAAAGTATTCTACTCCACAAGAAAGCTCTTAGAAAGCTCCAAATTACAATGAAAACTGATATTATTTTTTCAGTATTATTACATGTATAGATCAAAACTGTATTTGTCCAGAGCAAAGTTAGGTTTGACATAGTTTGGTTAAGGTGATGTGATTTTTTTAAATAAATATTATTGTTTATAGTCAATCCTAATTCATTCCAAAATAAGCATTCACTAAATGCTGCATGCTATATATATTGTGCTTACTGCTTTAAAGTGTTTGCAGGGAAATGTGTTTATATGACATTGTTCTTTCTCTAAAATAATTTCCCATCTCTAATGGTCAGACAAACCCATTCTGAAACTACAGTGAACATTTGAAGGTAATATGTGCATGTTTGTCTGTGTGTAATTTGTTTGACTGAGATTACCATTGGTAAAAATTTTAGCAGAGAAGCACATAAATGAGAGTGGTGTAGTCCTAGAAGGCTTTCCAGAACACAGATTTTATCTGGGCTGAAAAACTGGCAAGCATTTACGAAGGCAATGGGAGATTACATATTGTTGCAAGAAAAGTGGAGCATAGGCTGTTAGGCAGAAATGACCATTTTATGCCTAGGGGTTGCTGAACAAACCTAGACTACAACCACAATGCATGTTGTATGTGCCACATACTAGTGGGGGAAATGTTTGCGTTATTGTGCTGCAAACAAACAAGAAGGGGCCTTGAAAACCATGGGGTATAATTTGGATGTTTGTCCCCGCAAATATCATGTTGAAATGTAATCCCCAATGTTTGAGCTGGGGCCTGATGGGAGGTGATTGGATCATGAGTGTAGATTTCCCATGAATGGTTTAGCACCATCCTTTGGTGCTGTCTTTAGATAGTGAGGGAATTCTCATGAGATCTGGTTGTTTAAAAATGTGTGGCATCCCTGCTTCCTTTTCTCTCTTTCTCCCACTCTCACCGTGTGACGTACCCGCTCCCACTTTGCCTTCTGCCTTGAATAAAAGCTCCATGTGGCCTCCTAGGAAGTAGAGCAGGTGCTGGCACCATGCTTCCTGTACAGCCCATAGAACTGTGAACCAATTAAACCTCTTTTCTTTATAAATTACCCAGCCTAAGGTATTTCTTTATAGCAATGCAAGAATGGTCTAACACACCAGGCAAAAGGTGGTAGACTAGGTGTCATGTAAAATATTCAGTGACAAATGATTTCTCAGTACAGTGTTAACATATTTCAAATAAGTGGATTACACATAATTATTGTGGTCTGAGAAATGAGTAAGGATCTGAAGTTTGGGAAACCGAGGAAGAGAAGCCCAGCCAAATGCTTCTGTCAAGGTTGAAGTTATAAGTGTCTGAATTGGCTGATGGGACTTTAAATGGAAAGAGAAATGGCTAGAGGGACATTTGATAGAAACAAATATCGAAATTTCCTGATTAATGAAATGGGAAATATGATGATAGGGAATAATGCAAGGTTGCCTTTTGATGTAGGCTGGGCATGAGAAAGAACAGGGTAAGACCACTGACAAAGATGGACAATTTAGCTCGAATTTAGGAGAAGTACTTTAGCAGAAGTACTCGCCTAGATTTATCAATTTTAAGTTTTCAGGACACAATTAATTAGATTTAGAGCTCAAACTATAAGAACACAAATTCAAATCCTTTTTGATGGTTCAGAAAACTCTTCAAGACCATGGATACATACACTTCTTTTGCTCCCAGTCCACATTCAGATTAGACAAACTTTTAGAGCAAGAACTTTTTTCTTAATTACTGTGTGATACGTGTTTCTTCTTTACTCTGCATATGTGAGGTGGAATAACATGATGTTTACCTGTGTGTTCACTTGTATCTATAATGCTCACATAATCTTACACCCATTCCTTAGTATCAATCTGTGTGTTGAATGTGTGTGCAACTGTGTGTGACAAGAGGATAAACAGCCACAGATGTAGAGCATAAAAATAGAAGATGAATGTATTTCTATTTCCCTTGTATATTACAGTGAATAGTAGTTAAGAGACATGACCTTTCCTTTTCTCTGAGTCCAAATTAAAAAGTCACTGGGGCCTTTCTCATGAAGCTACAACTTAAGAACCTCGCCCTATCCTGAATGTTGAGGTGTGGTATGACCAGCATGAGTTTAAACCACCTCCCTTTACTCTTAAGATTCTCAATTCAAGGAAAAAGCTAGAGGTTGGAACAATATTGTTCAGTCAACACCCTCTCAAACCCTGGTGAGGATGAAAGGGTCCATAGCTCCTTTTTCATTCTTCGTGACAGTTAAGCCCTTGCTTTTCTTTAATACAGATTTAACCTAGGGCCTGTTCTTTTTCAATGTGATCCACTTGGCCGCACCCATTTGGAAGAGCCTATTACTCTGGTCAGGGTTGGTTTGGCTTGCTACAAGCTCTTGCTGCATTCTTTTTTTAGAGCCTGCCAAATGTGGGACAATGGGTGTGCCTTGTTGACATCCTGTGGTTCATCAGATATGTGGGATCATTCTGCAGTGCAACCTCTTTAGACGCTTACAGCTGTGCTAGGAGGTCCAAGTCAGCATGTCTGAGAGGAAGCCCAAACTCTGGTTCACATGAAGGGTCATTTAACCAAAATGCTTGTGGGAAATGGGAACACGGGCATGCCTTCCTTTAATGAAATACACGGGGCCCTCTTCATACCTAGATTAGTGATTTGCTATTGCAAATATTTGCCTATCTCTCCAAACCATAGTTTATCCCAAAAAGATGACTATATTACGTAGGCATTTAGACACAAGAACCACACACAAGATGGATTTCCTGTCAGTTCGGATTTTTAAAGTCCATGTTCCATTTTTGATTTGCCACATGAAGACAAAAAGCTACTCTCAAGGATAAGTTGGAGATTCGGGGAATATTAGTGTGCAGTTAAAATGGATACTCCATGTGGGAAAGACCCAGAAGACATAATTTTGGACTGGAGAAGGCAAGGATCACCAGGAGTTTGTCACTCAAATATGTTATCTAACAAACCCCCATCTTCTCCACAATTACAGGTTTAAGTTGATTAACAGTCTAATCTTATTAAGTGCAAATGCTCTCTCGGGTGGTTAGACTTCACTCACATTTCATTATGAAGTATTTCAATGAGATTTAAGCTTCTCTTTCTGAGAACCTGGGAGTCACAGGAAATTGGAGTGTTGAGGGAGAAGGTGAGGGGTATGCTTCATTCCTAAATCTATTGCAGGGAGTATAATCATCATTAACATGAATGAATAAAAATAAAATCACAGTTTCTCTCTGATCAGGATGCACTGAATATTTTTAACGTGAGAAATAGACTCTAACAGAAAGAGACAGAAAGAAAGAGAGAAAGAAATAGAGAGAGAGAGAAAGGTGTAAATCAAATGTGGCAAAAGTTGGTGCATTTCACCACTTGTGCAACCTTTCTGTAGATTTAAAAGTTTTCAAAATAAATAATTATTTTAAATAATGAAATCTCACACCTGATGAGTTTATTTTGAAATCATCGATGTTGTCAGCTAATGGTTGATGCCATTAATACTCATTTTTCATTCAGCAAAAAGAATGGGAACAGTATTTATGGAGGTGAGGAAGATGATATTACAGAACTAGGAGGTAAAATAAGAAGTGTATTGGAACCAGAAATTGGGAGGTGGGAAGTAGGATAGGAGACTGAAAATGAAAATAAGATAGAAGAAAATAGAACATTTCCACACTATCAATTTCACTAGAATTCCTACCTGTGAAATTTCTGCCATGGACTGAGGTGGACTGAACCTCAAATAGTAGATCCACCCTGGATTCTGAAGTTGAATTTCTCATCTTTCCTGATTTATTTTTTGTCTCATATTTCATTTCTTCAAGATAGATGATTGTTTTCTCCATTCAGCACTTGTTTCCCCAATTAAAAAGGAGAGAACCTTTGATTTGTCTCCCTTGCTTCTCTTCTTTCATCAATTCTGACCTGCAATTCTGAGAGTGCCTTATTTTAACATGATCAGTGAAGGTCATGAGCCACCTTTTTGAGCACCTGTGCTCAGCATCTTTCACACAATTACACTAATTTTCACAAAAGAGACAACGGAGGGTCAGAGAAGTTATATAATTCATCCAACTTCATATATAATACATTCCAAAGCTGTGATCACAATCCATAGCGGTACCCTTCCAAAGCCCCCTGTTTTGAAGGTAAACACGACATTTTGGAGAAGTGGCTTAAAAGGAAAGGAAATCAAAGGGCTGCAAACACTCTATACTTAATTGTAAAGAAGATTTAAACTTTCTATTGAATTTCATGATAAAATTAATGCCAATGCCTTGACAGAAATGAAAAGTAAATCTTTAAATTTAAGTAAAATACAGGTTGAAATGATTTTCATAGCTCTCCCACATTGATTTTTGTTGAATTAATAGACTTACCTCAGGATGGGACTTGGAGACGGATGACCCAATTCTGAGCTCTGGTCTTGGTCTGTGCCCTGGGAAAAGTCTCTTCAACTGTCTCCACCTTGATTCCCCTCTTCGTACAGTGGGCTTAGCAAGAAATTCCCATCTTTTCTTCTTCTCAGGAGCTACTGTGAGCACTGAGACAGTGACTGCAAGACACTTCCCCAATCTTCCTAAATAAAGGGCAGCCTACAATTGTTATTATTACTTGAGGCAAACATAAAAATTGGCAGTATTTTTGTACCATTTTCATGATACTCACATATTTTCTTCTTTATTTTTATAGCATAAAATATCAAAATCCTTAGAATTTCTCCTACGACTGTGGTTTCTTAATGTCATAATTTTAAAATCTGAACTTAACTTCTTGTTCAGTTCAACTATTTCCAAATCACAGGTGATCATAGAAATTATTTAGATATTAATCAACTTTCTAAGTGCTGATCTTCCTTTCTCACTACAGAACATAAAAATTAAAGAAAAAAAACTCTGATTCCTTTAACAGACTATCATTGGGCAAAATAGAGCAGCATTCCTTAGAATTTTGGATTTCATGGTTTACTAATTTTATTTATAATAAAATGTGTGCATGTGTGTAATATTCTATTTGGCCAAGCACACTTGCATGCATGCATGCACACACACTCCACCAATCATCAACTATCAAAGCCATTTTCTAAAAGAAAGGGCAATTTAACCTATAAACTATTCTCCGAATAAAAGAGGAAAGTTCTCAAAAATTAAAATAAATTTGATATCATGAAATATTGCTTAATCATTGTTTTTCTAAATTCACCACGGTCCATTGGAGACCTTTCTACACATGCTGGTTCATATATGAGCTATCAGAAGCCATTGAACTTGCAGACATATTAAGAGTGAACTGCCCCCTCCCAAATTAGGTATTTGCCCACCATCCATCCAAAGGCTCTTAAACTGCCACTTTCTTAAACTGACACTTGGAGCCCTCCTTGCTTTCCTAAACAGGTCCATTTTTACCCTGGTGTGACTGTTTCCTTCCAGAGAAAATCCTGCTCAGTCCTGTCAGGTCCTGTCACAGGCTTTGTGACCATTTAGTAAGTAAATGTTGGTCTCAGTTCAGTTTCTCTTGTCCAAAATAAAGGAAGGAAACATGTCTTTCAGGGTTTTGACTTTATACTTGCTTTTGTGATGTCTTCCTTTTTATTCAATAAAACTGACAGGAGGTAATACCGATTCTGCTAAAGAAAAGACAATTTGTGGAAAAAGAAACATCTTTAAAATACTCTTTCTTACTTTTATTTTTTTCATTTGGAAAGATAAGATTGATTTAAAAGATGAAAATATCTTATGTTGTCTTTTCTCTTACTGTTTCCTCATATATTTTGGGAACACATTCTCTGAGAACCATGTAAAATATTTTTGAGATAAACACAATTATCCATCTAACTGGATTGTTTTTCCACAGCTAGAAATTCAAAAGAATAGATTAATTTGAGGATTAATTCAGTCTTTACTTGGGAAAAAAATTTAAAGAGGACGTCAAGTGTTTTTGGAAATTGAAATAAATTACCGGAATGAAAATGTCCTTCAGTAAATATAAGATATTAAAAATATAAGAAATAAGAGAAGAGTTTTAAAAATACATATCACTCCCCCATTCCACACATCACCTTAGTCTTACAAATTAACATTCTTCTGTATCTCTGAGTATGTTCAGAAAGATTCCACACTTGGACATTTCTTATCACATACATCCAGTCCTCAAGGTCATGTCCTGTAGCCATTCTTCTCTGTCTCTAAAGTAATTTGCAGAATTGGGTGTAGTCTAGTGTATGCTAATTCTTCATTATTTTCTATCCCAAAAGGTCAAAGCATAATATGGAAATTCTTGAACTTGAAAGAGGCACTCAGCCTACATAACCAGCTCTGCCCAAATTAAAACATCCAAAAATACCATTTATTCCTACAACAGCAAGGGCTGATGGTAAACCCAGGGGAGTAAGAATATCCACTAACATGACTTTGAAATTGTTCTATCTCAGTGACTCCAACTTTCCCAGATTTCAACAAGATTCCTTCAGAATTAAAAAAGAAATGACTGTTTTACTCTACAACTTCAGCATCTGTAATCTGATAACTTCTCCTGTAATGAGATAAATTCTACAGAGGATTTCCTACTATTTAACTAGACTGGCAAGTCAGAAAACTGGATTTTGTCCCTAGAAAATGATCGCAAATCTACATCTCCAGGTTTCCCCCATGTTTTACCATTTACTAGCAAGAATTTCCTCAATTCCTGAGAGGGTAAGATAAAATATGGGCACACAGAACAATCTAAGAAATATTAGAAAGCACCGTTAATATTATGCCAATATGAGGAAACTGGTCCATTTTTACAAGAGCTTGCAACTTGATGGGTACTGAGTGGCATGAGCTGTAGTCAAACATACATAGTCAATCACAGCTCCTCAATACCCTTGGTTTAAGGAGTCTCACTTCAGATAAGCAGTATGAATGAAATCCTTCTGAAGTAGGATCAAATTCTATGAATTTTCATATCAAAATGATGATAAATTATAATAAATAATCATTTAGAAGTCTGGCAGTCTTATAGACACCTTCCAATAAAATATATTATTGGTTGAGGGCTTGGGGCATAATTGTAGAAGTTATCTGCATTTCTATTACCCAATAGACTATTCAAAGTTGATAAGCTTTGATACTGATTTTAAACAAATCTGACAATCTCACCTCTTTGAACAGGACTTGTTGGTATGAATAAAGAAAAACATGCCCATTTATCAACTTTATAAACCTTCATATGTAAACAGAAGCAGGCTAACAATATCCACAAATAACAGACCATAATTTTCAGTGTAAATAATCACTGGGCCCAGGATTTCCATCCAAAGCACACCACACAAGACCATGAGCCTATCTAAGTTCAGGCATCACGTCATTTATCTGGCACATCTAGCAATATGATCAACATATAGCAGAAGCACTGTAAGTGTTAAACTATAAATTCTATAGAGACATGTCTGTCATATTGCCTATTATAGCAGAGGACCTAGCAGATAATAAGATTTATTAAATCGATGTGATATAAATGTTTTAGTGGGTGAATGAATTGATGAATGGTTTGAATTAGGTAATTAGTGGACAAGAGCAGAGATGTTTCAGGAGGAGATAATGTCATAGAGGCAGTTGTTAGTAGGTTGAATACCATGCATGGTAGGTAGATTTACTCTTGGAGGCCATGGGAAGTCATTAAATATTCTTGAGGGAAAACAGAATTGGTGGAATTGTTATCTGAGAAATATTGCAGTGTTTTTTATATGTTGGATTGAGTAAGGAGAGAGTAAAGGGAGAAAGAGTCAAATATATCCATAAGCTTTAACACAAAAGAAGTGGAGAATGTCACCTTCCAAATATTTCTCATTTCTCTACCTCTCTCACTCTCCTTTCTACCTTCTACTACACTATTTAAATATATTCATAGCTTAGGAGCTTTCTCCTCCACTCTATTCCATACCACTAGAATTATCTTTCTAAATTTTATTTTTTTAACTCATATAACCAGAAATCTTCAACTGTTCTCCAGTTCCTAATACATCATGTTAAAACCTTCAGACTGGCATTGTAGGCTACAAACATAATACACTACAAAAGCTGTACACTGGTGTTAGAAAAAGAGAAAGTTTAAATCCCTCAGGTTCAACCACTTACTAACTAGTTTCCTCAACCAAGTATCAAACTAGGCAGCTCCTAAGGACCTTTCTAATTTAGCATTTTATATTTTGTTTGACTTTGTCTTTGAGGGTGCTCTTTATGTAACCTAAACCAGTGCCTCTCACACTTCACTGTACATATGAATTACCTGGGAATCTTGTTAAAATTCAGATTCTGACTTAGTGGAACTAGAGTGGGGCTGGAAACCCTGCATTTGTAAGAAGCTTCCAGGTTGCTTTAATGATTCTGCTCCATGGATGATGCTTTGAGTAGCAATTCCCTATTTGTAGAAATTCATGTTGGTAAAACAGTATCTATTGTATCCTTTTAAACTTTGTTGAATCTGTTAGTAAACTTGGAATGTCCTCCTATCCATATTCACCTGTCAGAAACTATCCCATCTTTTCCCTAACCTATCTCATCACAGCTAAAACGCTGTCATCTCGATAGAGTTCTTAATCCAATCCCTTACTCACAAAGGAAGCCATCTTGCTTTCCCTGACTTTCCATAGCTCTCTGTAGGTGTCTTTTAGCATCATGAAAACCTTGTGTTGTAGTTATTTGCATATGTGTCTCTTGCCTCCCTCTAGGTCATAAGCCTCCTAGTAATGCAAACGATAGCTGCCACTTTTGACTAAAGTGTAGAAGGAAGAACATTCTAGGGAGAGGGGGGAGGGGACATGGTCACACTAGTAAGTGTCAGGGAAATTCAAACCTGGTACATTGGACTCCAACACATTTCCTTTTATTACACTTGGCAGGCATTGTAATATGCATGGCTGTATCGTCAGAACACAACACCTGACACATTGCTGGATTTCCATCCTTGTTGACATTTGGCAATGGAGACACATTAGAAGAAATGACAGTCTTATTTTTTGCATGCTTAACTTTAAAGTGTTGGAAGACAGCCCAGTAAAAACATTCTCCCTGCATCTGCAATTTGAGAGGTTAGGAGACATCCAGAATGAGTGGAGCTGGGAGTGGTCCATTTAGGGCATAATCTGCTTTATTCCACCTACAGAGGTGCAAAATTCATCTATATCCCCTCAGTGGCTCAGGACATTTTTATTTCTTAAGACACAAGTATAGCAGTGCAATACATACAAACCTCCTTTTAAATTACTGGGTCCTGGCCTCATTATATTTGGCATATTATATAAAGACAAGAGGCCATTTGACATATATTTTAGTATAATGCCAGTTACATCTAAAATAATAAAACATTAATCAGGGCAGCATGATGTTTTACAAATCATGAAAAATATATTGCATCTTTACCCTATGATCTGTCTCTTTTGTCATATATTTTATTGCTTGGGATTTATAGGGCCATATCTCTACGTGGCTTATGCAACAACACACATCAATGTGTCTGCCTTCAATCATCAAAGGGCAAAAATTCAGGTCAGACATTAGTCATTTGCCAAGCTCATCTGGATTAATGAAAGTCTAGAGCTTGCAATCAGCATACAGAGAGAACAATGAAGGTATGTCTGTAAGTAATGTCAACTTACTCCTGAACTTGTAATACCCAGACTTATGCCTGCTTTGCTTTTAAATCAAAACATAATTGACTGTTGCGATACAAAGATTTTTTTCCACTGCAGCTGTTGTTCTAATAGCTACCATAGCCCTACACAAACCATAGCCCTACACTAACCATAGCCCTACACTAACCATAGCCCTACACTAACCATAGCCCTATTAATTTTCACAAAATAAGCAACAAACCTCTTCATATATCTGGCTCATTAATTTCTGATGGAAGTAGAGCTCCTTTGGGCAACTTTGAATGGAGTAAATAGACTCTTAAGTGGAAGTGAATGTTGTCATTTCTGTTGGTACTCTCCATACAACATATGGCCTGAAAAAATGAAAGCTTTTAAAGACCTGTGGGGAGACTTTCCAATGGAGTAAAATCATTGTACTCTGAAGCACTTTGCACTTTTTCCCAAAGCAAATAGTTTATAACATTTAATTCTCACAATCATCCTGTGAACTCAGCAGAGTAGGTGACTCTATGTCTAATCAACAGCTGTGTAAACTCAGCCCCTATGATTTGCCCAAGATTAGAAAGATTGACACAACAAAACAGAAGTCCTGGGCTAGAATGGTGCCTTCTCCACTGTATAATCCTTTAAGACGATAATATGCCAGGAGGAAGTCAATAAATGGTAACTGAAAGATCCAGAATAAGCTCAAATGTTCCAGAAATAATTAAATGCTAATGAAGGACTAGAGTTTTCTTAGCTGGTGAGTTAATTGTTGAAATGAGTTAGTGAATAAGCATTTTCAAAATACTAATTGAAGACAAAGAAGAAGAAATTATCAGCATCATCAAATCCTACAATGAGTGTCTAAAAATCTCAATTTATCTCTACAACTTTACTCAATGTCACAGAAGCTTCTAATAAGGGCTTGAGATGACAAAATACCTAGACTCTATAGTTAATAAAATTACATTCAGATCATGCTACTCTCCAAGTAAATCATTCTTTAAATGTTACCTCAAGTTATGGCCTCATTGGTGCTTTAAAAAACACAAGCAATATACAAGAGGTAATATATTAAACGACTTAAGAGAACAGATTTGTAGAATTGCTTTCTGGAAGGATATTTAAGCTTTCTAGGTATACAATTTATGATATTTAAAATGTGACTGGTATTAGTTTTAAACAAGTTAATGTACATAAAACTTACTTTTTGCCTGGAAGATAGTCAGTGCTCAATACATGTTAGCCAAACAGCCTTACTAGTATCTCTTACTCTATTCTATGTGCCTCTAGAACTGAATCAATGCTATCTATCCTATGACCCAATATTGAAAGAAGTGAACCAGATTTCAGTGGGTTCTTTCCTCCCTGCTTTGTCAGAAAATTGTTAGATAAGTGGCATTGAAGATCAGACAAAAGCCTCTTTGTGTGGCTTTTCTCCAGATAAAATGAGAAATAGTATCCAATATAATCAGCAAGATAAATTAAAACTTGAATTGTCCCCAATGAAGGAAAGGTATCTTTCATAACTGCTCATTGTAAATAG
This sequence comes from Homo sapiens, assembly GCF_000001405.40. NCBI lineage: Eukaryota > Metazoa > Chordata > Mammalia > Primates > Hominidae > Homo > Homo sapiens. The sequence goes on from NC_000020.11 coordinate 7,659,382, forward strand.
TGGCATCCTGCAGGAATCCCTTTTAAATATTTACTCCCAGAATCAAGTTATTAAAAAAAGAAAAAGAAAGAGAGAGGAAAGGAGGGAAAACAGGAAAGGAAGGATGAGGCAAGGAAAGACAAAGAAAGAAAAGGAAAGAGAGAAAGTAAGTTTGAAAAATTAAATAGCATTCCATTAGCTACAAGATCAATGACTTTTCCAAGTAAAGGAAAGGATCTTGGACAAAGCCAGAAATCAAAACCAAAGCAAAACACAAACAACAATTTTGAAAGGGAAAATGTATTTATAACATATTAGTCTTTCAAACCTATTTTGTCAGTTATTTTCCAGTGCCACTAATAAAGTAAGTGGTAACACAGGAAGAAAAACAATACTCTAGGGCCAACTATTTTTTCCTATCATGTAGTCAAGGCTTTTAGACACAGGAAGATTCTGTGTTCTGTGGAGAAGTTATAATACAATAGTGTTTGCAAGTGAGGTTCATCCCACTTTGGGGCAAAAGATAAGAAAATGGGCACCTTGCTCATGACATGGAATTTCATTCTTGAATGACTTGGTTTGGAGACTCTGCCTTTTTGGGGTGATATTTGCACAGTTTGCTTCCTTTAGAGATTTGACTCTTCAACATATTTTTGAAAACATTTCATGCCATTACAGAGTAGAAAAAGGAGAGAATGGAAATTTGAGCTAGAGCCGTGAATAATTTATCCTAAACTTCCAGGAGATTCCGATTATTTGATATCTTCTTCCTGAGCAAAGAATGCTCTTGTTAAGGAGGCTTGGTAAACTTATCATTCTCTTTCTAATGTCCTTTTGTGTAGGCTTTCATGGGAGGGATGCTGCAGACAGATAGACCGCAGGTTCTTTTAGACAAGAAATGGGAACTATAGCAGAATGTTTTCTAGGATTTGGCATATTGAAATAATTCTTGTGTGCGCTCTAAATCAGGATCCTTCAGTAACGGTGATGATGATGATAATGATGATGCAATAATATTTACTAACTTTTTATTTTGAGCCAAGTTTCATTGTCAGGGCTTTGCATGCAATATCTCATGTAAGCCTCACAAAAAGACCCATGATCTGTATTAACTTTATTGGATACCTGACTAAACTGAGCAAGGAATAATGATGCAGAACATGGTACAAGCCTTTGTTTAATTAATGTAGAAGTACTAACAACAGAAAAATACACAAAAAATGGTCCATCGTGTGTATGCTACAGCTTAGCTCTCAAGCTTTTTTTTTTTTTTCCTGAGATTGGGGAATGGTAGGACCATTGAGAATACATCAACAACTGAAATTATGGCTATCAATGACTCTGGCCAGCCTACTCAAAGACATACTTCCCATGACCAAGTGGCCTCTTTGCTGCTGCCAGAAGATCAACTATATTGACAAAAACAAAATTACAGAAGCAAGATTTACTGTTACCAGACTGTTTGTAATTTTTCCTTTCCATTTGCTCCTCTTTTATGATCCCTCCTTTTTTTCCATTGACAATCATCTAATTACTTTTCTCTTATTAGTATATTTGTAAGTACAAAATTATATATAAATTTCAGAAATTAATTATAATTTTCTGAGTTATTCTTTGACTTGCATCCTAGAAAGGTTAAGTATCTTGCACAAGTAATAAACCTAATAAGTAAGGGAGCATGTATTGGAACTCAAGCAGTCTTATTTGCACTAGATAATCTCCTCTACAAAAAAAGGTCTAAAGTTTATGTGCCTACAAAAAATATTAAGGAAGTTCCAAGTGAGAAAATGTTACCGAACACTGGCTCTAAAGTTACAAAATTAGTCTCTATCTCTCTCACTTTTTTTCTCTCTCTCTGACACACACACACACACACACACACACACACACACTTCACACACCTCATAAACAAACAACCCAGGTTTCATGTGATACCCTTTTGTGATTTCTATTCAATTTCAAGCATTCCTTTGATGTTTATTTCAGCAAGTTTCTGCAAAGAGCAAAGGCAAATATTTTTACAAAAACAGAATTGTTTTTTACAAAACAATATTTTTACAAAAACAGAATTTTTTAATAGTATTAAAAAATTATAATGATATTCATAGTGTGTAGGAGACCTCACAGTATGTGGGGGTGGAAGAAAGAACATTTGTAACTGGAGCTAAGGCAATGTGCATCATGTAGACATCCAGTGAAGGCAGGCAATGCCAAGCCACTCTGCAGTCTGAGAAGCATCACTCACTATGTCCACCCTTCCATGAAGATTCGCCATCTTCTCCTCCTCAGTAATTTCCTAAGGTCTTTATCTCCATCATAAAGCTCCACCAGCACCTTGTGAAGTCTATCTTTATAGCCGTCAAAGCACTTTTCAGCCATATTCTCAAGAGCAAACTTGCTGCACGCTGTTTCCACCTTCCCCTCTAGTTTCAGAGCTTCCAGAGTGCAATGTCAGTAGCCAATACCATAGCCACATTCCTCACTGAGCCTTACATATGGCATGTGCTTGATAAATATTTATAGATAATAGAAATCTGAGGCCTATACCCAGTGGTTTTCTAGCTAATTTAGTAACTCTTCCCATATTTCCTTAAATATAAACAAAGACAAGTTGGCAGGAACCAACCAGAATTATGTGATCCAATCTATTTGATAGCAGAAGTTGTTCTTTCCAAATGGGAAATGGTCTTGGATTTCTGCTAGTTATCTTTTTCATTCTCCATATGTGCCACTTATTTCTTCCCTTCACTTACATATTGTTGGTGACCTCTGAATAGATGTCAGGAAATATTCCTCAAAATAAAGATTTGCTAAGTTACTTTCAAGTGTCGCAGGAGTAAGAAGCAGCATTGTGTTAAGGCAGAGAAATTAGCATAGGGGCTGCCTTTATTTTTATTCACAAGGCTGAATATAGAGATTAGAGATCCTACCCAGGTAATGATTAATGCTGGGTCAAGTCAGAATAAAATTTTTGCACTGATTCTAGACTGTTTCAATTAAACATGCTCTTAAAAAAACTCTTAGTTCAATACCTAGATAATTTATTTCCAGGGCTAATTCTCAACCAAAATCATAGCTCTTTTAAAACTAATTTGATAATGATCTAAATGTGACAGGTCTCTCCATATCTTCTAAAAAGTGTGATGCAGACTTTGTTGCATTTAAAATTAGGATGGAACAAACAACCCCATCAAAAAGTGGGCAAAGGATATGAACAGACACTTCTCAAAAGAAGACATTTATGCAGCCAAAAGACACATGAAAAAATGCTCATCATCACTGGCCATCAGAGAAATGCAATCAAAACCACAATGAGATACCATCTCACACTAGTTAGAATGGCAATCATTAAAAAGTCAGGAAACAGGTGCTGGAGAGGATGTGGAGAAATAGGAACACTTTTACACCGTTGGTGGGACTGTAAACTAGTTCAACCATTGTGGAAGTCAGTGTGGCGATTCCTCAGGGATCTAGAACTAGAAATACCATTTGACCCAGCCATCCCATTACTGGGTATATACCCAAAGGACTATAAATCATGCTGCTATAAAGACACATGCACACGTATGTTTATTGCGGCATTATTCACAATACCAAAGACTTGGAACCAACCCAAATGTCCAACAGCGATAGACTGGATTAAGAAAATGTGGCACATATACACCATGGAATACTATGCAGCCATAAAAAATGATGAGTTCATGTCCTTTGTAGAGACATGGATGAAATTGGAAATCATCATTCTCAGTAAACTATCGCAAGGACAAAAAACCAAACACCGCATCTTCTCACTCATAGATGGGAATTGAACAATGAGAACACATGGACACAGGAAGGGGAACATCACACTCTGGGGACTGTTGTGGGGTGGGGGGAGATGGGAGGGATAGCATTAGGAGATATACCTAATGCTAAATGACGAGTTAATGGGTGCAGCACACCAGCATGGCACATGTATACATATGTAACTAACCTGCACATTGTGCACATGTACCCTAAAACTAAAAGTATAATAATAATAAAAATAAATAAATAAATAAATAAATAAATAAATAAAATTAGGATTGAATGAGCTTATCAAATGAGTTATGGCAGAGCTAGGAATCCTCAGAATCTACTGCTCTCCATTGCTTTTCATGGGGCTCCATTAACATTGCTGAGCCTCCTGAGCACAGTCCTGGGGTTGGATCATTGCAAGTTCTGGGATCTGTATTTGGGGGGTTCCTCTAGTGCTCAATCCTTTCATATGCTTATTGATGACCTCTTCTAAATTGAGATATCTCTTTGCTCTGGAAAGCTTAGATTGTCCTTACCCAGTGAGTCATTAGTAGTCTGTGTGGCCATATCCTTTTGAATCTCAAGCGTATTACTATTATCTTCAAGATGAACACAAATAATTACAATTTACTTTTGCTAAACTGCACTCTAAATTATCATATTAAGTCCATTGGAATTTTAGTGCACCTTTAGAAAAAAAAATTCTGAGATCTAAGATACCAAAGGTTTTGGGAAGATTATTTTTTAACTCCTGTTTTTTGAAATGTACAATTAATTTTAAATACTACTTATAAAAATATTAGCTTTGTTAAAAAGAACTCTTATTTCTCTACAGAAAGATAACTAACTGAAGTTTTACTAAGAAATATAAAACTCAGCCCATCATGTGTTAAATTTGTTGCAACTATTAGCCTGCCTACTCAACTCTTAATCAATCGGGGTTTTGTGGGTGGGACACGAAGACCATAAAGGGTTTTTAATACAGCCATGGGTATATGATTTCAATCTGGCTGCCTGAGAGTCAAATAAAGCAATAAACTCACAGAAAATTACACACATGTACATACATGCACAGAATCAGATTTCTTGTTTCTTTTTTTTTTTAATTAACTTATTTTTTTTTAGACGGAGTCTTGCTGTGTTGCCCAGGCTGGAGTGCAAGTGGCCTGATCTCGGCTCACTGCAAGCCCTGCCTCCCGGGTTCACGCCATTCTCCTGCTTCAGCCTCCCGAGTAGCTGGGACTACAGGCGCCCGCTACCACGCCCGACTAATTTTTTGTATTCTTTTTTTTTTACTAGAGATGGGGTTTCACCATGTTAGCCAGGATGGTCTCGATCTCCTGACCTCGTGATCCGCCTGCCTCGGCCTCCCAAAGTGCTGGGATTACAGGCGTGAGCCACCGCACCAGGCCCTTATTGTTTCTTCTTTAAAAGATCTGCCAACACTGGGTTCATAGTTCCACAAAGCAACCAATTTGTAGCTGACCTATTTCGGTGATGGCTGGGCTTTTGAGTATGCCACAGGCTATACCAATCCCAACTGTCTTAAAACCACTGGTTTGTCTAACCTGTATAACCCATATAGGCACTTGAATATGAGACCCTATCACTGTTAATTTGTATAAAATCTTTGTAATTTGAACATGAAACTAATCATTGACACTAGATGTTCATGCCTAGACAGTATAACTAACCTTCCTTCGTACTCAAAATACTCCACTTTTTCTGCTTTGTACTTAACTTGAAAGACAGCACAGTAGATGTATAAAAGGAATGAACAGCAAAAGGGTCAGTTGCATTTGAAGCAATCCACGATTGTTTATGCTGGCATCATTTTGCCCTGAAGATTTTTTTCTATGACTTTCTGGAAGCATTCTAACATAAAGCATTTTTCTGGTTTTCAGATTCAAACACATTCTAGTCTAACCACCTGTGTATGCAATCGATTTGGTTTTAACTTTGAGCTTCATCCCTGAACCAGACCTGGCATCTGCAGAAAAAAAAAAATACCAGAGGCTAAAATAGAGCAAGCAGGGCCACAAAATAGTGTGATGTTCTCCCACTGTGATTCGTAGGGGATGCGTTTCGGGGTGCGCATTTCATCTCACGAGACTCCAGACAACAGAGGAGCTAGACAAAAGGAAAATATGTGATGGAGCTGTATTTATATTGCAATCTTTCCAACATTTCAGGAGGGAATGGTTTACAGATGTATACCCTCCAATGACATTGACACATCTATTGTTTTCTTAACCTCCTTCCCCATCTTACTACAAGATTCTTTTCACGAAAAAGATTACAAACTGCCCCCATGCTTTTCTATGATAAGGAACACATGCCTTCCTGATTACAAGGGAAGACCTGATGAGCTATATGATAGGCCAAGTGTTAATGTAAAATTAGCCTCAGAAAATGGAATACTTTTATGATTACTTAAGCATTTGTATTTTCATGCCATAAATGCTTCCCCGTCTGAAACAGACCACTTAACCCAGTCTTAGAACATCAGGCTGCTAATTTACACAGTATTCTGACAGGAAGCCATCTACAGCAATGAATGCACAGTAGGGGATTTTAACAGAAGCCCATCTGGACTTTCAGCTATTGCAGGCAATTTCTTCTGAATAATCCATTAAAGAGAAATGCCATAAAGATGAGTTAGCAACTCTTGATTGTAAATTTCAAGAGAGGTTTTATAAAGAGCCTCTTACTTTTTCAACTTTTTAAGATCTATTTTTAGCGACTCAATTCATCACCATTTAACTTGGTGTCTTTCTGCCTTGTTACGACTCTTGAAGAGTTTACAGTGCTGTCAGGGTCACAGTCGTTGTCTTCAGGAAAGGATACCTGTCTCAGACACGTGCTTTCTATTAATTTAGCCCTCCGGATTGTGTTAGGATGAAATATGTCTTCTTCAGAGTGTTTTTGTTTGTTTGTTTGTTTGTTTTTCCATTTCAAGATTTTTTTTTCTCAAAATAATTCTCCTCTGGTCAGCCAATATTCAAAACTTAAAAATGATAGACCAATTATTTGGTAAACCTGAAATTTGCGGTGCTGACAGGAATTATTTTAAATAACAATATAAGCACCCGCGAATAACTCTTTCTTCCTCTGGCATGTCTTTCCCTCAGCTCCCTCAAGTCTGCTCAAATCATGTCTTCTCAAAGAGGCCTTCTTTGATGTATTGTTTTATATTGTAATCTTGCCCCATCCCTGGTTCTAATGATTCCCCTGCCCCACTTCAAGTCATTCTGATATACTATGTATTTAATTATTTGTTGCATTTGTTTATTTATTTATTTTTGATACAGAGTCTTACTCTGTTGCCCAGGCCATAGTGCAGTGGCGCCATCTTGGCTCACTGCAACCTCCGCCTCCCGGGCTCAAGCAATTCTCATACCGCAGCCTCTGGAGTAGTTGGGACTACAGGAGCGTGCCACCATGCCCGGCTAATTTTTGTACTTTTTTTTTTTTTGACGAAGTCTTGCTCTGTCACCCAATCTGGAGTTCAGTGGCGCGATCTCTGCTCATTGCAACCTCGGCCTCCAGAGTTAAGCCATTCTCCTGCCTCAGCCTCCTGACTAAGACTGGGACTACAGGCTTGTGCCACCACGCCCAGCTAATTTTTTGTTTTTGTTTCTGTTTTTATTTTGAGACGGAATCTCGCTGTGTCCGCCAGGCTGGAGTATCTGCTCACTGCAAGCTCCACCTCCTCTGTTCACACCATTCTCCTGCCTCAGCCTCCCCAGTAGCTGGGATTACAGGGGTCTGCCACCACGCCCGGCTAATGTTTTGTATTATTAGCAGAGATGGGGTTTCACCATGTTGGCCAGGCTGGTTCAAACTCCTGACCTCAGGTGATCCACCCGCTTCAGCCTCCCAAAGTGCCAGAATTACAGGCGTAAGCCACCACACCCGGCCAAGTTTTGTACTTTTAGGAGAGATGAGGTTTTACCCATGTTGGTCAGGCTGGTCTCAAACTCCTGACCTCAAGTGATCCGCCAATCTTGGCCTCCCAAAGTGCTGGGATTACAGGGATGAGCCACCCTGCCTGGCCTATTTGTTGCATTTTTTATCTTTCTCCACCTGTTACAATGTGAGCTTCATGAGAACAAGGTTTGCACTAGTTCACCTGCTTCTGTGTCCCTAGAACTTAGAATGGAGCATAGCACAAAGTATGTGTTATTAAAAATATTTGTTGAATAAATGGATAGATAAGAGTAGATGATTCATTCGGCAAATACAGAAAAGAAAACAAAGCTGTGATGACAGATCTGGAACGAAGAACAGCACACGCCACGCTCTAGGTGCTCAAGTAGATGTTTATTTAATGAATAATAAATGGATATCATAATAATACAAATTTAGCAAATAAAAACACAACAACTAAAGTAAAAGTGAAAGACTTGAGGTGAGTACATTCCCAATATCTGAAGAGAAGTTATTAGAGATACAAAGGATAGGATTATAAAACTGGGTTTTCTTTTCAGGGCAAATTTGCCAAGAAAGGAAAGAAGGAAAATAGAAATCAGATGGAAGAAATGTTTTAATGTGAGTGTTTCAAAGCTGCTTAAAATTATTTTTAATTATGATTATCAAAGAAGCCTACTCATTAAAAACGGTGGAGAGTATATACAAAGGACAAAGAAGGAAAGAAAATCATCCATAGTTGCATGCTTTAAATGCTAGCTCTGTGAATAGTTGAATATACTCTGGTATTTTTTATGAAGTTTGTTTAGAAATTTTAAGATGTAGGCAGCAATCAGTTCATATGCTTACTGACTTTTTAATTTCCTAAAAGACAGTATATTAAGGTCATTGGATAGTCTTTTTTATGCATCCTAAAAATTAACTTCTTGGTATTTCTTTGTACATAGATGGACCATAATTTTTTAAAGCAGTTCCCTCTTTCTATTTGTGTTTGACTCTTTTAAATTAGGTTATGACCATTCTTGATAAATCTTCATATAGCTCCATGATTGTTTTCTTAAAGTCTTAGAAATAAAACATAAATTTATTAAAAAATTTGATAATTCTTGCTATTCTGTCCCTCGCCCCCAAATATTGAACCTATTTGAACTTCCATTAGCAACATTTGAAAATGCCAAGTTCTTTGAGATTTTTTAAACCATAACTTCTAAAAACTGTTTGCCATTCTGACAGATGAAAACTAAAATGGAAATTTGGTTAGGCAGAGCAGAAGGGAGACGGATATTCAGGAAGAACAAATAATACGATTTGAGATGAAATTCCACAACAGTAGATTCAATTTTAATTTTTCACTTGGTTACTTTATATCTTAAACAGACCATCAATGCTACCAACCCCTCCAGACTGATTTATAATCATAAACCATGTTAGCCCTATTATCAGGGTCTTATACATATATGTATGTAGATTTTATGTAATAAACAGTAGTCTGCTTTTCTGCAAATCAAGCAATTTATAAACATTATTTAAATATCAAGCTTTCCTGTTTTCATAAACTCTCTGTAGGAGAACAGTGGGTACTCAAGAGTATGATCATGCTAGTCAGGAAGACAGCCAAAATGTAATAACACCTGTGTTCTGAACTTCGCGTAATCTTCAATCTCTAACAGCAAACTGAAGCTGAAAACAGAGGGTAGATATGATAAGTCTTGATATTTAAGGAATATGCCAAGTTCAGGAAGCATGTAAACGTGCAATGCTGTAACAGCTACTGGTAATATGGCCAATTGAATGTAATAAAATCTGACTCATAACAATCATTTACCTATTGGTGAGTTGCTTTTCCTCCAAGAGTAAAAGTAATTTCTTCTTGAATATAGTTACTTTTTTTCAAGTGTGATGTCCTCTAAGTCCATGTTCCTTAACGTGGACCTGTAACATCAACATAGATATCACTTGAAAATATTAGAAGTATAGATTCTCAGGAACTACCCCAGAAATACAAATTAGAATCTGTATTTTCACAAGATCCCCATCTAAATAACATGGATATTGAAGTTGGAGACACATGGAGCATTAGTGACTCTGTTGAGAATGGGTCCAAACATGGTCAAACTGCCCACTTCTAGAGTATCCGTTGTTATGTATGAATCATGTATAGCAGCAAGCAGCATCGAGTCCATCTTTGGAAGGCAAAAGACAGGAAAAGACTATAATTTGCATGAAGATCTCATCAGAAAGTTCATAAGAAAAATGGCCAGGCTATGAATGGTTTGAAAATAAGAATTGCTCTAGTTTGGAGAGCTTATTATTTAAAAAGATTTTCTAAGTTTCAGATAAAAATATTATTTGAAAACAAATCCTAAATTTGTTTCTCTGTATCAGTGATAGGAGAAATTATCATTGGATATTTTGCTCAGGTTTTCCAGAATTCAAATCTTTCTTTGAAGATTTTGCCACTTATTCACTGCTGAGTGAAAGCCACTTGAAACTTAGTGGCTTAAAACTATAATTCATAATTATTTTTCATGATTCTGCAGGTTGACAGGGTTCAGAGCTGGGGAGTTGTTATTTGAGGCCTCCCAGGCAGTTGCAGTCACATGGCAGCTGTGTCTGTAGTCACCTGAAGACTCTACCGGTTAGATGTCCAAGATGGCTGGCCCACATGGTGGAGAGTAGACATGGGCTGTTGATAGCTAAACAGGTTGACTAGACCACCTATATATGGGCTGCACATGTGGCTTTATTTTCTCAAAGTGTAACAGTTGTGATTGGAGGGGGACTGTCTCAAGAGCAAATATTCTCAGAGACCCACATGAAAGCGACAAAGACCTCCTATGTCTGAGCCTCTGAAGCCCCAAACGTCACTTCTGCAATGTTTATTGGTCTAAGAAGTCACTAGTGTAGATTCAAGGAAGCAGGGAAATACATTCCACCTCTCAACAGGAGGAACAGCAGCAAGTTTTTATACCACCTTCAATCTACCACAAGATATTTTAAAGTTAGAACAACCTTCCAGGTACACCAATCAGACGTAGATTTGGTCTTTTCACATAGTCCCATATTTCTTGGAGGCTTTGTTCATTTCTTTTTATTCTTTTTTCTCTAAACTTCCCTTCTCGCTTCATTTCATTCATTTCATCTTCCATCGCTGATACCCTTTCTTCCAGTTGATCGCATCGGCTCCTGAGGCTTCTGCATTCTTCATGTAGTTCTCGAGCCTTGGCTTTCAGCTCCATCAGCTCCTTTAAGCACTTCTCTGTATTGGTTAAAAAAAAAAAAAAGAACAACCTTTCTAATTTTTAAAATTATACAACCAGATCCACTTCACAAGTATTCAACACTGAAAAGAATCCAATTAAATCAGAGCTTTGGTCCTACAAAGCCCACTTACAAAAATATCAAAACCTCTTTGATCCTATGTTAAGTGAAGTTGCCTCTATCTATTGATATTTGAGGAGAAATCAGAAGTGTCCTGTACCTCAAAAGACTTTCTCGTATGTGATGGTTATTCTTGATTTCTCTCTTCCCCAAGATCCATTCTCCACCCTCTGCTGATGAACTCTGTCATGAGTGCAGAGTTTGCCATCTGGGCTCCTTTGCTCTCAGGCTTGCAATTGAATTTGGCCAGTGTCAGGTACTTGCTTGTAATTTCTCTTTCTCTTTCTCCCATTGTTAACAATGCATTTCCAGCAGTAGCTTCAACCTCTGCTCCTGACTCTCAGTCTTTCCTTGTGAGTTCCACATACTTCTTGACTCTGCTAATTCTTATTATTTCCCTTTCTTTCAGCTACAGGAGTGATAATAGATTTCAGGACTTTTGTTTATTTCAATTTTTTTTTTCTAAAAAGAATACTTTTCTGGTCAGCTAATCGTCAAATAATAAAAATAAAAATCAATTATTTGGTTATTATGCATTTTTTAACACAGGGAGAAGAATAATTTTAGAAACTTTGAGCCATTAAAATCCCACCTATCATGAGAAGAGATCAGAAAAATTACTAGAGACTTTCTCTTCACTGTGTGCCTCACAAGCTCTTAATATTGCTGTAGCACATTTGAAGAGAAGCACTTTCTTTCTGAAAATGGAGACAGGATCTTAGAGGACAAACACTGCTGTGATTAAGAAATTTCTGTATATAGCTCTTTAATAAGAATTATATTGCTAGACCACTTAAGCTAGAAGGCAATGTTTAATACTCCATTTTCTAGACAACCTTGCAACTAGATGTTCATGTCATGAAATGGAATACTCACTTTTAGTGACTCAATCAGACCCCCTTGCAGCTAGGTATTGATTCAACCTAATTCTCGCCCATGAGAAATCAGCAAAAAAGGCAGCAAGTGGCTTCGTGGAAGATAGAGACTAAGGATTTGTTACACAGTCCATGTGAGGAGATGCAAATACAGAAAAATTTTCAGATGCAGCTGGTTAGAGAAGAGGAAATGTGGGTAGCAGACAACACCTTGATGTAGAGTTTTTTCCCATAAATATACTCATGGGACCTCTTGCCCCATGAGTATATTTTATATTCAACAATTTGAATATAAAAGGAAACCATAGACTCATTTTATAATAGCCAATTATAAAACTGAAACCTATTATGTATGTATAGCTTGAGAGTCACTGTGGTCAGCACTCATGATTGATGACTTTGAATAACACTTTTGGGTTTATATAGCAATTTTACCACCTACTTTCTCTGATTTATTGAATGGGGTTACTAAGAATCTTTAAACTTCTGTCTCATCTACCGTAAAATGGGGATAATATTAATTCATCACAGAATTAAAGATTAAACAAAATAATTAATGAGAAGCACTTAGTTCATTACATGGCACATATTAACTGCTTACAAAGTGTTATTTATTAATATTTTAAATTGTTAGTTAATGGTTAAATTAACCTAAATGATTACTGATAGTGAAATAGTTAAATATGCCATATTTCTACAATGTAATACTATATGGTCATTAAAAAGAATGAGAAAGAGAAATATATTTATATAACATGTATGTATATTTGTCTATATAAAGACTGATCAATATATTAATATGATTAATTAAATGATAAAGGAAATTGTAATAGAAAGAATGTATTAGGGTAGTCCTACTCCTTTTTTTTTTTTTTTAAACAGAATCTCATTCTGTCTCCCAGGCTGGAGTGCAGTGGCGCGATCTCGGCTCACTGCAACCTCCGCTTCCTGGGTTCAAGTGATTCTTGGGATTACAGGCGTGTGCCACCACACGCGGATGAGTTTTATATTTTTAGTAGAAACGGGGTTTTGTCATGTTGGTCTCAAGTGATCCACCTGCCTCAGCCTCCCAAAGTGCTGGAGTTACAGGGGAAGTCCTGTGCCCGGCCTAGGGCACTACTTTGGTTTAAAGAAAAGATAAATATGAATACACACATATACACAAATACACATTTCCTTCTAAAAGGGAGACATGTGGGCATTAAGGACTGAGGAATTGAGGAGGAGGAAGATACCAGAGATTTCTTAGATGCTGTTTCAACTTCTTTCACATACATTCCCTTTCTTTCTTCAGTTATGAAATAGATTTGTATTATATGACAAGTTCTGGCCAAGGATGTATGAGAAGAAGCTAAGTGTGTCTGTTTCAGACTGAAGCGATTAAGAAACCAGAGTGCCTTCTTTCCACATCTCCCCTCCTTTTGCTCATTGATTCTACTGAACGCAGGGAGTCTGCACTGGATTCTAAGGCGGTCAAGGAAAGAGCACGGATAACAATGAAAGCTGCATTCGCTCGCTAATTAGATCCCTAAATTAGCACTTGGAGAAAGGCCAGGCAGAAAAGCTACATGTCCTATGTTAGACTATGATACAGAAAGAAATAGCATTTATTATGTTCCGCATTATAATCTAAAGATTGTTTGTTATAGCAGCTAGCAGTAATGACTAGAGAAATAATTATTTTTCATGTCATTTTATATTGTCTAAATTTTTATCTAATGAAACAATTAAACTAAATTTTAAATGAGATATAGTACACCAACCAAAATTTAATTTATAAGTCAAAAACCACCAGGAGAGATTTTATTTTCTAAGCAGCAGCTTATTTACATTTTTCTTTATGACAAGGAATTGAAGATTATTCTACACATTTTTAAATGTTTTGGCCATTTCACCTGTTTATTTTAATTAAAAATATTTTTAACTTTAAAAATATTTAAAATACCTGACAGCTAAAAAGATCAAGATTTTCCAAGCTACCTAATCATGTGCCATTAGTCAGATCTGAATAGCTATGGTAGAATTTCTAGGTAGAAATATTCCTTCTGCTAGCCCTCCCTGTCACTGTTTCAGATTACTTCAAGCACTTCTTGACTTCATCCAACCAGTGTGTAATACTGTAAGCCATATTTTTTTAAAAGGCTAATTAATTTTTTATAGTTCATCTTTGGCACTAATGGTTTGTGCTAGTAATTACATAATTATATTATCAACTCCCTAACATTCCTACCATAAAATAAAGCAATATATAAATGACATACCACAGTAAATGACCATCACACTAACAACTATTATTATTTCTGTTCTTTGCTCAGAAGATGCTTTAAGAATTTTTTGATATTGTAAGAAAAAATGAAACCACAGAATTGTTTGTGTTATGATGACAGAAGAAAATAGTGTATGGAGAGCCAGCATAACAATAATTAACACTATTTTTAAAAATATATTTTATGGCTAAATAACCTCAACACTGAACCCATTTTAATATGGAAGTTCAAAAGGAAAACCATATATTTCCCACTTATTTTTCTTTGGCAAATTCTGTATTCACAGATGGTACAGATATTTTGGCTTTCTAAAGTAAAGCATCTCTATTTATGATTTTGTCTTGGAAGTCTCTTTCGTGGTTAGACCACATTGTGTACACTTCCGATGATGGACATATGATCTGAGCTTAGCCAAGAAAAGGGGCAGGCCACATGAAACATCATCAAGGCTGTAAGAGGCTGCTGCCAAGAAGTTGGAAAAGACAATTTTATAGGTCATGAAGAAAACTGGGACCCAGATCAACCAACAAAGCATTGAGTGACTAAAAAAATAAGTATGTGATGCTCATACAGAGCTAATATGGGCCTCAAAAGAAACTTATTTATATGGAACAGTGGGATAGGAATGCCATGTTTAAACTACTTTTTACCAAAAGAGGAAGAAGAAGGTTAGGGAAGAATTAACCTACCTTTGGCAAAAACCACATTTTAAAAAATGAATTTAAAATTTCATTAAGTGGTCATATATTTGCATAACATTGCCAAAAGGTTTATTCTTCCCCCTCTTTTAAAGATATTCCCCAAGGTTGAGCTTCTTGCTGAAAACAAGGCATAAAAGACCATATATTTGCATTTTTTTCATTTTCAATTGTTTTGAGTGTCAAATTTATAAATACTTACTAACAATTTTTGAGCCAAGAAATGAAATTCCTCATCAAGGTTTAAGAAAAAATGTAAGCATATTGCTTATAAAATTCACATTGACTTTGGAATATGGAAACATTAAAAAATTAGGTAATTATGACACAATTTATGGTTAATCCAAATCCTTCTGGAAAGGACCTGAAATAAAAATCACTGGTTAGAATACAGAGATCTCCACTACTTGCCATGTTAGAGTAACTGAATCTGAACTTGCCCGCCCAGTGGAAACAACCAGAAGATTAAAAAATATATGTAAAAGAGTGCCTTTCAGACATTGAACAACTATCTGTGCATGACTGTGATATATAACAGAAGGTAAAACAAATGAGATGAGCTCTAAAATCTACCAGCTTTTCACCTCAACCCATACCACAGACTGTGACACAGCAAGGTAGGCCACAAGCAGAGCTGGAAGATCCCATTGAGATGAGAAAAAAGAGATCAGGTCTGGAGAGATGGGGACAGTTTGATTTTGTGGGACAAAATACCATAGAGCAAGGAACTGCACAGAGAGAGTGAGTTCCAGATATCAGCATAGGGGTTCCTTTGAGCCTGTTTCTAAGTACTAAGACCCACATGAATAGAATGGTATTTCCTGATGCTTGGCAAATAATTATCAGGATGATTTAACTTGAACCATTACAAAAGTGTAAACAGGGCTGGAAGACGTTAAAGTTTTATCTAGAAGAATGCAGTTATTTCAATGAATACATCAAACATGTTGTAGGAAGCATAGAAGAGTTAACTTCAGTAGTTAAGACTCAAGTAGCCCTATGATAAAAAATAGTACAGACATGTCCTAACAAATCTTAAAAACCAGCATGGAAGTGATTGAACTGATTTGTAAGTTACTTAACTACTGTCCAAACAAAGTTCAACATTTTTTAAAGGTAAATAACAAAATCTGGACTCTCAAAAGCATTGAATTTACCAATCAAATTACCATCAAATTTATCATCAAATTACCAATATCAATGTAATCAAACACAGTGAGACATATAAAGAATCAGGAAATTATGACACATAACCAGAAGAAAAAAAAATCTGCGAATAGAAATAGTAAAAATAAAGATAATAGTATAAGAGAGAGGGAGTTTTAAAGACCTATAAATAAGCTCAAAGATTTAAAGAAAAACATAAATATCAAGTTGTGTTTTGATAGTTAGGTTTTTATATCAAAACAGAACTTGATATTTATGTTTTTCTATCAAAGAAAGAAGCAAGATATAAAAACAAATCAAATAAAACTTCTGGAGAAAAACAATAAGCATACATATATTTTTTGTTAAAAATAATGAGATGGGCTTGCCAGATGATTGGACATTGCAAAAGAAAAGATAAGAGAATGTTGAGACATAGCCAAAGAAGACATTTAATATAAAACACAGAATTTAAAAGACTGCCAAAAAATGAAAAGAGCCAGTTACCTATGAGACAATATCAAGCAGTCTAACATACCTAAAATTGGAGCCTGTATTAGTTTCCTACTGCTGCTGTAAGAGATTGTAATAAAAGTAACAGCTAAAAAACATTAAAGAGTTCTGGAGGTCAGAAATCAGGAATGAGTCTTTTGGGCTAAAATCAAGGAATTGGCAGAGCTGCATGACTTCTGCACATTCTAGAAAGGAGTCGACTTCTTGGCCTTTTCCATCTAGAGGTCACTTGCATTTCTGGGCTTCTGACCTCTTCTTCCATTTTTAAAGTGTATCACTCCAACTTCTGCTTTGGTCATGACATCACCTTCTCACTCTCATCCTCCTGTCTCCCTCTTATAGCGATCCTTGTGATTATGCTGGACTTGCCCAGATAATCCAGGATAACTGTCCCATATTAAAATCCTTAAGCTAACCACATCTGAAAAGTTCACTTTACCATTTAAAGCAACATATTTACAGGTTCCAGAGATTAGGGAATGGGGAGGTGCATTACTCAGTCTATTATGGAATCACAGAAGAAGAGAGAGGGAACAGGCAGAAAAAAAGTTTGGAAAAAAAAAAAAGTCCCAAGCAATTTTTTTTTTAATGGGACAGGTTCTTGCTCTGTGGCCCAGGCTGGAGTACAGTGGCACAACCATAGCTCACTGCAGCCTCAAACTCCTGGAGCTTGGATCTACCCTCCTCAGCCACCCAAGTAGCTGGGATGACAGGCATGCACCTACATGCCCAGCTGTTTTTTAAAAAAATTTCCTATAGGGCTATGTGTCTCACTAAATTGTCCAGTTTGCTCTGGAACTCCTGGGCTCAAGTAATCCTTCCACCTTAGCCTCCCAAAGTGTTGGGATTACAGGTGTGAGCCACCATGCCTGGCCATACAATTTTCTTAATTTGATAAAAATTGTAAACTCAAAAACCCAACAAGTACAAAAAATTAAGAAGGATAAACAACATCAAGGAATATCATCATCAAATTTTTGAAATCCAGTGATAAAGAGGAAATCTTACAAGCAGCCAGAGGAAAGGGAACATGAGTGAGGAGGGAAGGCATGTTACTTACAGGGAAACAAAGATTAGAATTTCCACAGACTTTTTGCCAGAAACAATACAAAACAAAAATCAAAGGAATATTTGAAGTATTGAAAAAAAAAAATGCTCTTATACTACATAAAAATATCCTTACCCCCGAATGTATCTTTCAAAAACTAAAATAAAATAAAAATATTTTCAACATTAGAATGCTGAAAACTTGTCATTTGTTTGTATTCTGATGAATTTTGTTTATTGACTGTTTTCCAGAAAAGATGGCATAAGAAATTCTTCATGCAGAAGAAAAATTATGTCACATTGAAACTCAGACTCACTCAAAGAAATAAAAAGAGCCAAAAGTGGTGAATATGTTTTTGAGGGTTTTTTGTTGTTGTTGTTGTTGTTTACTTTTGTTTTAGTGTCAACAGAAGATAATTGATTAAATAATTAATTTAAGCAAGGGTCAGCAAACTGTCTCCTATAGGATATGGCCCCCTTCCTCCTTTTGTAAATAAAATTTAACTGGCACACCGGCACACCTATTTATTTACATGTTATCTATGACTACTTTCACACTACAGTGGCAGAATTCAACAGTTTTGACAGAGACAGAATGGTCTGCACAGCCTAAAATATTTACTATCTGGCCTTTTAGGGAAAAAAATGGCAGACCACTAATTTAAAGAACAGTAATCAAAATCCGGTGTAGAGTTTGCCACATATGTAAAAATAAAATGTATGGAAAGTCACACACAAAGAACAGGAGAAAAGATATGGGAGTATATCATTTATAAGGTTATTGAATTTCACTTGAAGGGATGCGATATTATTTGAAGGAACACTGCAAATAAAAATGCAAATTACCACCCTAGACAATGACTACTCAAAAATGTAGCAAAGCAAATAAGCCAGTAGTGGAGACAAAATGAAGTATGAAACTTCCTCGTTGGCTAAAATAAAGCAGGGTGAAAAGAAAAGAGAAACAAATTTGTGGACAACTGAAAGGTAAAACCAAGAAGATCGATTTAAGCACATTTACATCAATAATTATATTGAATGCAGATGGCCTAACCTTCCCTTTAAAAGGCAGAGATTTACTCCGCATGTTCTCACTCATAGGTTCGAATTGAACAATGAGAACACTTGGACACAGGGTGGGGAACATCACACACTGGGGTCTGTCATGGGGTGGGAGGAGGGGGAAGGGATAGCATTAGGAGATATACTTAATGTAAATGACGAGTTAATGGGTGCAGCACACCAACATGGCACATGTATACATATGTAACGAACCTGCAGGTTGCACATGTACCCTAGAACTTAAAGTATAATAAAAAATAAATAAAAATAAAAGAGATTTTCAGACTGAATAAAAAAGAAAAACGCACTTGCTGTGTACAATAAAACCGCTCAAATTAAAATGACATAAGTAGATTACAAAGATGAAAAAAATACCATAAAAAGAGTAATCATAAGAAAGCTGGAGTGGCTATATTAATAAAAGACAAAATATACTTCAGGGCAGGGGATATTATCAGAGATAAAAGGAACATTTCATAATGACAAAAGGTTCAATTCATCAAGAATATATAATGTCCCTAAGTTACAAAGCTGCAAAATGCATGAATCAAAAATTGACAGAATCAAAAGGAAAATGAAACAAATATTAGTGATTATCAGAAACAAGTGTATAGAAAATCAATAAGGATATTGCATATATGAACCTTTTCAACTACTGTATCCAAATATTTAAAGAACACTCCACTCAACCACAAGAAAACACACACTCTTTTTAAGTATAAATGGGACATTTACGAAGATAGAGCATATTCTGGACCATAAAGCAAATCTCAAAAAAATTGGGAAAAAATTGAAATCATTCAGAATATATTCTTCTACTATCTGGCATAAGGGCCCGTTTTAAACAAATCTGATGAAATATGCCACCATTAAAATATGTCTAGGTAATAAATACCCCATTCATTTGGAAATATTTAGAGCAAAAAAAAGTGTATTAGCCCTTAAAATTAACCTTAAAAAATGATCTCCATTTATTTAATTAATAAATTTTGCAATATTAGGTGGAAATATTTAATCCATTTTTAACCCCAGAATTACATAAAGTATTATTTATTTATTTATTTATTTATTTTGTTCAACTGGTAGGCATGTCTATGACAAATTGCCTCCTGATACAGCAAAACCCATCCAGTCACCGGCCAACAGCTTGCAGTTTAACCAGACATGATACAGCCTGAATGTATGATTACAAAGATAGACAAAACTAGCATCACCAATTGCAGTTCAATTATTTTACAATATACCGACATTGCTGCAAATGCAGTTGGATCTTGAGAACCATATTATTCTGTCCAGAACTGTCATATTGAGAAATGAAACCCATCAACAAATTATTCACATGTGTTATCTCCCTCTGTGTGTGTGTGTGTGTGTGTGTGTGTGTATAATTTCATGAAAATAAAGATATTTAGAAAAAACAAAGAAAAACTTAGTTGATAGGAGTCTAGGATTAAGTGAGTCTAAGAGAGTTTAATTCAGGAATACAACGTTGAGGGCAAGATAATAAAACTAACTCCGGTCCTTTTAAAAAGCTGTATATACATACATACATTCACACATACATATGCATATTTGATCAGAATAAAAATATTTAAGGAAAATATGGGAAATATTTAGAGTAATATTTGAGACCCAAGAGTCTTGGTAGATGCAAACTTTAGGGAAAGTAGGATCCCAGGCCAATACTTAAACACAACAAGTTGGCACTTATTTTAAAACCCCTCAGGTTATAATTAGTATTAATAAACCATCTTATTCACCTCTTACCTCTAGGAATGGTCACATTCAAACCTAATAGAAATGAATTTTACCAGCCTTAATAATGACCCTAATACCTAGGAACTGCTAACTTAGACTTAAGCAAAATTATTCTTAAAAAATTTTTTTGAATATTTCCTTTCATTCTACCTTTTCTTATTTATGAAAATTAAGTTTCCCAGCTTCCTATCTAAATCTGGCACATCTTCACCAATGTATGTCTTTTTTTTCTTTTCTTTTCTTTTTTTTTTTTTTTTGAGACAGCATTTCACTCTATCACCCAGATTGGAGTGCATGCCACGATCATAGCTCACTGTAGCCTCAGCGTCCCAGGCTCAAGCAATCCTCTTCCCTCAGCCACCTGAGTAGCTGGAACTACAGGCGTGCACCACCAAGTCCGGCTAATTATTTATTTATCATTATTTTTTGTAGAGACAAGGTCTAGCTATGTTGCCCAGGCTGGTCTCAAACTCCTGGGCTCAAGTGATCCTGCTGCCTTGGCCTCCCAAATTGTTGAGATTACAGGCTTGAGTCACTGCACTTGGCCGGTTTTCTCATCTTTAGTAAGAATTGTGATCCCCAAAGCTGTTTAGGTATGTTGTTAACCAGCATTGTCTAGGGATGGTGAATGTGGGCTACCTAGGTTAAAATTCCAGCTCTGCCACTTACTATCTGTGTGATCCTGAGGAAGTTAATTTATTTCTCTGTGCCTCA
The DNA here is from genome assembly GCF_000001405.40 of Homo sapiens. Lineage (NCBI taxonomy): Eukaryota > Metazoa > Chordata > Mammalia > Primates > Hominidae > Homo > Homo sapiens. Next base: position 7,680,529 of record NC_000020.11, read on the forward strand.
ACTTGCTTATTCTTTAAATGAGGATGTCATAGAGATATTATAAGGGTTAAATTTCATTATATTTGTAAAGTGCTTTAAACAGTGTCTGGCATGGGATAAGTCCTATATAATGCTGGTTAAAAATTTAGGGAAAAGAAAAAACTCTTTCAGGTATATTATTGTTTTAAAAATTTACAGAATCATCTTTTCTCTTCTGCCTTCTTCTCTCCCTTGGCAAAACTATTTAAAATTGGGACTTAAAAGATAAGAAAACTCCAATTATAATAGATGTTTATTCTTATAGGAGTAACGGCAAAGTAATTTTTGAGGATTGTAGAGGAGAAAGTTGAATATATTTTTATTTCATCAATGAAAAACATGAAGCGTTTCTCTTCTACCTCAACCAGGAAGGCAGCTATTGCAAATTTAACCAGAAGACTCAGTTGATGTGTACTCTAAGATTACATAAGTATCAATTCATAGCATTTCCTGTCCTACTTTACAGACCTAAATAAAAGTCGTCTACCCACATGCTTAAAATATCACCCTATTAGGTGAGGTTTTTATGTTAGGATAGTGTATATTCTTGTTTAATTTTTATGAAACATTTTACACTTTAAATTAATGGAAAGATATATCCAGATATTTTCAGTTTTCTTTAGGTAGTAAACTTGCTATAGAGTAATGTGAAATCAAATGTTTGAGGCAATTTTAAGAAAAGGGATAGAAGAAGAAGAAAAAAAAATTTAAGCCAAATGCCCCCATGGGAGTAAATCATTTTATTGGTAGTCAAGTCAGGAAATGTTAACTGGTGGTTATGTAACAAAGAGAAGAATATTTTAAGACATCGTTTTGGAAATATCTACACTTTAAGAAAATTGGGGGAATATTTCCTTTTTGGTCTTACTGAAACATTGACTTTTTGAAGTAGAATTGTTAAGAAAACACACACTGTTGAGGTTAGTTACAGTTAGTTGGGATGAAGTAATTAAAATGCTTGCATGAGAACATCCTCTACCGCAGTTGTAGTTCATTTCCCCCCCACAGACACAGAACTTTTCTGATCTCATTCTGAAAAATATCATATTTTCTCTTCAAATGCTAATGGCCTGCCACTCTTTTCCCAGTTGGTTCATTCAGAGACATCATTTTCCTAGTTTGTACTGTATTATGTTTTGTTTTTAAGAAAATGTAAGGTACTTTAGAGTATAACTATAAAGAAGAAAAGTAAATTGGATTTCACACAATATCAAAAATGGTAAAAAAAACACATTACTTTCATGTGTTTACTCATTAGCTTCTTTACACATTAGTTTCAGGTGTTTATTGCTTTATTCTTAGTGTAACATTTTATGTAGCAGTAAAATATTGGAAGGCAAATGTTCATCAAAAGGGAAATGAATAAAGATATGTTAAAATTATATAATGCAATATACAATATTTAAAATAAATAAAATACATGCATTTATTTATATACATATATGATTATATATATTTGCAATAACCTGAAATTTCAAAAGAATATTGACATTGAAATATGTAGTCACAAAATGATACATAGAGTATGATAACATCTACGTAAATGTTAAAATGCAAAGTAAGACCACGTGTTATTTATGAATAAATTATGAATCTATCAAGCAAAATTATAAAAACATGGACTGGAAACATGTACACCAAACTCACCATAATGGTTGCCTCAGAGAATAAGATGGGGGAGGGAAAAGTAGAAACTTTACCTTTAATGCCCTCATTCCTTTATTTAAAATACATGAAAAGTGACTAAATATTTGTTAAATCTGGATATTGTACATATATATTTATTTCACTATTTCCTGAGGTATTCTATATTTTCTAAATTTTTAGCAGTAAACATAAAAGTAATCATCCCTTTAATGATTTCAAAGGAGTTTTTTGTTTGTTTTTACTGCATAAATGTAAGCACCCAGAATTGCCTCTGATTATATTCAACTTTGATTTGCAGAGCACAGATCTGGTCAGTTCATGGACCACAAGTCATGGGCGCAGCAGTTCACACTTTTTGGGAAAGATGTGGTCATTGTTGTGGTCTGTTATTTCACCAGAAATAAATGAACATTAAAGTGTTGTTAAGTGGCTGCTATGGAAGCTTGACTTCAAAATAATTTTCTTACTGCTGATAATGAAACTGTCTTTGCAAAAATTATAACTAAAACAATTATGATAGTGAAATATATTTGAACTATCCATCTTCCTCTTGCTTCTAACCTCCAAGCTCTCCATGTTCATTACTGGATATAGACCAAACTAACTTTGAGAGGAACTTAGTTTATCATTTAACTTTGAAATAAAGACAATAACAGCCTTTTCCCAAAACAAACCCCCTTCCTGCCTGGGGACTAGAATGCCTATGTGGGACTAACAAATTAGCTATGAGATTAAAAATTGTAGTTTAGGAGTCACACAACTGGAGGCCACAAGATTCTGAAACTCCCCAAATTGCTCCTCGGGATAACATCTCTATTGTAAAACCTAAGATTAGAGCTTGGGATATTTTGCAGACTCTGCATTCAATTGATCAGTTGGCATAACTCAGATCCATAAACTGACTCATCTGGTCTTATGGCCCCCACCAGGAACTGACTCAGCACAAGAGGACAGCTTCAACTCCCTATGATTTCATCTTCAACCTGACCAATCAACACTTCACACTTTCTGACCCCCTACCCGTCAAATTATCCTCAAAAACTTTGATCCCCGAGTTTTCAGAAACACCTATTTGAGTAATAATACAACTCCAGTCTCCTGTGCAGCTGTTTCTGCATGAATTAAACTCTTTATTGCAATTCCCCTGACCTGATCAATCTGCTCTATCTAGGCAGCAGGCAAGGAGAACCCATTGGGTGGTTACAATAAGGTGCAACACACTTTCAACTTTCAATAAGGATAGTATTTACGCAGATTAGCACCAGACTTGAAATTATACTAACCTTTGTCCTTATCAAGTGAAAATACTCTCTTAGATTTGGATATATTTTTGTTATCACCCCATCTGGCTTGAACCCTCAAGTCAGACATAGTATCTAGTATTTAAGGTATTTAACTTCCATTCAGAACTGACATTTCATTGGTTACGGCAAGTCATGTGCCCCCAAGACAATGAAGTGAGGAAGTACATACCACCCACAGAGTGGGAAATAAGTAAGAACTGTGAACAAATACTATGATGAACATACCAATATTCATTACATTGGAAGGCATCCGTGTCTGTTTTGGCATCAAGAATGGTAGGGTACAAAGGTAGGACAAATTTTACAATACAACTTTATTTTCTGCACTGTACAACGGAGATAATAACTATACCATTTGACTTTGAGCAACGACTTTATTCTTTGAAAAAGTGTGTTTTAAAGAGGTTCAGTAACTTTCTGAAACTACTGCAACTCTCAAATGGAAACTGTTGGATTTGGACCCAAGATTGTTACCACTAATAAGCTATGTTATCAACATATAATAGGCCTCTAAGCTCGTATCTATAAAATGTTGTAGTTGGTGTCTTGGATCTCTTAAATGCTCCACAATCCATTTGGTCTGTGTGCCTACGAGTATTGCCTCAAAGCTATTTGGAGATGTGAAGACTTGCTTTACAGTCTTTCAAAGACTGCCACAGAGCCCCAAGGTCAGCTGAGACTAAGACTCACTTGCCTGACACATTTACCACCAAGAAGCACTTAGCAAAGTTTGAAAATATATTTTGATAAAAAATACCTATAGTTAGGTCAGAAGTTTACCCCTGCCAATGTTAGCTGAATAGCATTACAGTATTTAAAGTAGTACATACAAGCTACACAAATGATAGTATTCAGGAGAAAAGTGCTTATGTATGAAAAGAAAATGAAGATAAAAATATTAATGGGACATGTCACTGCTCTTATATAGTACCTTTGACACATAACTCTTAGGAGTTCATTGAATACAATTCTTTTTAAGAAAAAAAATCAAGAAAATACATCTTTTAAAAGATTTTTTAAAAATCACAGTTTTCAAAGACATCAGCATGATTATCTTCTAGGAATCTCAAGTTCAAGTTTCATATATCTGGTCATCTTGTTGCAAAAAATTAATGACAGTAGGTTTATTTAAATAAATTAAAGATAAAATTGAAAAATAAACAAAATAAAGTAAGCTCCAAAATTCTACTGCCAAAATGAACTTCACACAATGGTAACTTTTTGGTCATCACATTCAATTGCCCTCTTGTCCTCTCTATATTACTCTAATTTTTGGAGGATATACCCCTTACTATGTATTTTATGCAAAGAAAATATGTGCTAGGGAGTTTTCTGGTATCCACTTTCTGAGAGGAACAAGAAAGCAACAATGAATATTAAATGTCTTTCATGAGCTGACATTATGCTTGAGGCACTACACCATACATACATCTCTCTTTCCATAATGCTTATTAAAAATTGTAGGTAAAAATCCCAAAATAATCAGAGAGTTTAAAAACCTGATCTCATAGCGGGATGAAAAAATAAGGATTTAAACTCATCTGGTTCAACTCCAGAGATAATCTTCTTTGGTCAATGAAAACAGGTCCACAAACATGAAAAAGGCCCTAAACCATTGTTTATAAGCTGCCTCTGCCCTCCAAATTATCACTGCAGAACTCTCACTATAAGAATAATGACAAACAAAGTAAGACATACCCACAAGTATTAACTTGAGTCTTCAAATGCTCTATAAAACCTAGGGCCTTTGGGCTACTGGGAAGGCTGTTTATTTAGAGAAAGGCAGAATAGTTACCAAAGATCATTTGAGGTTTCCAATTTTCATGGGCATCCTGGTGATCAATGGAAGGAATTAGTTTTGCTTTCTTAGTCTTAGGAATAAGGTGGGAAAAGTAAGTTCATTTCATACAGTTACCCACACAAATGTAGCTCTCATGTTGCATTGTTCCTGTCGTAAAAAAATATAATGAATTTCAATGGAAAAGTCATTTAACAATCGTATTTTTTAAAATCAATGTTGTATATATTTGATAAACTATAGGAAGTATAGGCTGTGATCTATACCTTACTCATTCAGTTACCCACACAAATGTAGCTCTCATGCTGCATTGCTACTGTTGTAAAAAATTGTAATGGATTTCAATGGAAAAGTCCTTTAACAATCATATTTTTAAAAATCAGTGTTGTGTAGATTTAATAAACTATAAGAAGGGTTGGCTGTCATCTATACCTTACAGGAGGCTCCAAACCAAATCTAAATAGTCACAGATAGGGAAGGGCCCCATCCTGGGGTTGCTTTACTCCATCATTCACTATAACATCAGATTTAGGTGCAAATGAAGGTAGGATGCAACTATGATAAAGTTGCTTGTAATTCAACATCCTGTATCAGGGATCTCATTCCTTCTTTTGCTTTAGAAGCAATGATTTCATAATGTTTTAAGAAAAACAGCAATGACAAATGAAGAAGCTGCCTGGGAAAGCGCATACAATGAAGCATTTAGAGGAAATGATCAGAATATTCCACCTGACGTGATATAAGGGGCAAATACAACACTTTCATTTTATACATATGGACTTCGTGGACCAAAAAGACTAAGTGATTCAGGCAGGGTTATGTAGCAGGTCTTACAGACCCATGACTACAGCCCAGTTCTGCAAGCTTAAGAAAACAGGCTAAAAAAGAGGACATTTGCTTTTGAATCTGTGCCACTCTAATGGTTCTTTCAAGCTGCCTTCATGTGTTAACTAAACTGCTGAGGTTAGAAGGAATCCAGCTTTCCATGAATGACACATCTGACTATTATGATTTGAATATGTCTCCTTCAAAATTCAGGTGTTGGTAAATGTAACAGTATCAACAGGCTGAGTCTTTTAAAACTTAACTAAACCATGAAGTCTCCTCCCTTGTGGATGGGATTAGGTGCCTTTATGAAAGGTCTTCATTGAAAGACTTAGTTCTCTTTTGCTATTCTTTTTTTAAAAAAAAAATAAGTTGTAAACATTTAATTGGTACAAGAGCAATCTTGTTATGTGGATACATTGCATAGTGGTGAAGTTTGGGCTTTTAGTGCAATTATCACCCAAACGGCATACCTTGTACCCTATCAGTAATTTCTCATCCCTCACCCTTCACCTAATCTCCCACCCTTCTGACTCTCCAGTGTCTATTATTCCACACTCTACATCCATGTGTCCACATTATTTAGCTCCCACCTATAAGTGAAAACATGTAGTATTTGACTTTCTATTTCTGAGTTGTTTCACTTAAGGTAACAGCCTCCAATTCCATCCATGTTGCTGCAAAAGACATGATTTCATTCTTTTTTATTACTGACTAGTATGCCGTTGTATATGTATGTGTGTATATATATATATATATATATATATATGTTGTGTATGTATGTGTGTATATATGTATATATATACACACACACCACATTTTCTTTATCCAATCATCCATTGATGGACACTAAGGTTGATTCCGTATCTTTGCAGTTGTGGTTAGTACTGCAATAAACTTATGAGTGCAGATATCTTTTTTACTCAACAATTTCTTTTACTCCGGGTAAATATCCAGTAGTGGGATTGCTGGATTGAATACTAACTCCATTTTTAGTTCTTGGAGAAATCTCCATACTGTTTTCCATAGAGGTTGTACTAATTTACATTCCCACCAATAGCAAATGTATTCCCTTTTCTCTGCATCCTTGCCAACATCTGTTATTTTTTGAATTTTTAATAATAGCCATTCTGACTGGTGTAAGATGATATCTCATGGTGGTTTTAATTTGCATTTCTCTTATGAGTAGTGATGTTGAGCATTTTTTCAGATGCCTGTTGGCCATTTGCATGTCTTCTTTTAAAAACTGTCTATCATGTCCTTTGCCCACTTTTTAATGGGGTTATTTTTGTTGTAGTTGTTGAGTTGTTTGAGTTTCTTGTAAATTTTAGATATCAGTACCTGTCAGACGCATACTTTGCAAATATTTCCTTCTATTCTGCAGGTTGTATGTTCACTCTGTTAAGTATTTCTCTTGCTGAGCAGAAGCTTTTTCAGTTCCATTTGTCTATTTTTGTTTTTGTTCCTTGTGTTTTTGAGGTCTTAGTCTTGCTTGCCTAGACCAATATCCAAAAGAGTTTTTGCTGGTTTTATCTAGTATTTTTATGGTTTTAGAACTTACATTTAAGTCTTTAATCCATTGTGTGTTAATTTTAGTATATGGTGAGAGATATGGGTCCAGTTTCATTCTTCTGCATATGGCAATTCAATTTTTCCAGCGCCATTTATTGACAAGGATGCCCTTTCCTCAGTGTATGTTTTTGTCATCTTGGTAAAAGATCAGTTGACTGTAGATATGTGGCTTTATTTCTGTGGTTTCTATTCTGTTCTGCCGATCTATGTGTCTATTTTTACACCAGTACCCTGTTGTTTTGGTTACTATAGCCTTGTAGTAGTATAATTTGAAGCCAGGTAATGTGATGCCTCCAGCTATGTTCTTTTTGCTTAGGATTTCTTTGATTATTTGGGCTCTCTTTTGGTTTCATATAAATTTTAGAATTGATTTTGTCTAATTCAGTGAAAAAATGATACTGGCATTTTGACAGGGATTGCAATGAATCTATAGATTTGGTCCTTTGCCCTTCTGCCTTCTGCCATGTGAAGAGGCAGCAAGAAAGCCCTCACCAGATGCTGAATCCTTAATCTTGGACTTTGCAGCCACTGGAACTGTGAGAAATAATTTTTTGTTCTTTATTACCTAGTCGATGGTACTCTGTTATAGCAGCACAGAAGAAACTAAGGCAAAAATTGTGTCAGAAGTGAGGTGCTGCTATAATAAATAATGAAAATGCTGGAAGTGGCTTTGAAACTGGGTAATAGATAGAGACTAGAACAGTCTCTGAGTGAACACTGGAGAAAATATCTTTTGACAAGAATAAAGCATTAAAAGTGATTCTGGTGAGGGCTCAGAAGAAGAAAGCCTAAATCTTCTTACTTAAGAAAGGTCCTGACAATGGAAACTATGCTGATGAAGTCTCAGATGAAAATGAGGAACAAGGTATTGAAAACTGGAGGAAAGGTCATCTTTGTTACAAAGTGGCTAAACTCTTGGCTGAGTTATGTCCAGTTCCAGGACTTAAGGAAGGCGGAACTTAAGAGCAATAAGCTAGGATGTTTGCTGGAAGAAATCTCTAAGCACCAAACAATTCATGGTGCCTCATGGCTTCTCTTAACTGCTTATAGTAAACGAGGAGAAGAGAGAAATAGTTTAAAGATGGAATCTATAATTAAAAGGGAAACCATACGTAAAGATTTGGGAAATTCTCAGCCTAGCCATATGTGAAGAGTGAAAAAGAGTGTTTAGGAAAGAAAACAAAGAGTGTGGACAAGTGACCATTTGAGATTAGAATGGATAGAAGAAAGCAAAGTGTTATTCATCAAGACAATGGGAGAATGGCCCCAAGGGCATTTTAGAGGTCTTCAGGTTGTCCTTTCCATCACAGGCCCACAGTGTTAGGGACTTAAGGGCGGAATGATTTAAACACATGGATCCAGGGAACCCAGGGACCTCAGGGCTTACTGCAATTGCTGCCAAGGAGCTCAGCTTTCCACATTCTAGCACCATGCCTTTTGGGCACTCCAAATGTGGCTCAAGCAAGCCCAGGTGCAGCTCAGGCTGCCACTCTGGAGGGTACAAGTGGTGAGCCTTGGTAGCATCCACATGGTGCTAATTCTGCAGGAGCACAGAGAGCAAGAGTGTTGGAGGTATGACTTTTTCCACTTAGATTTCAAGGGATGATGAAGAATCCCAACTAAGGCAATGCCAAATGAAGCTATGAATGTGGAGCTGCCCCCAAACCCCAGCACTGTAGAGCCACAAGCATGTAGTGCCAGCCTGGGAAAGCCACAGGCATGCGAATTCGATGCATGAAAGCTGAAGTAAGAAACGTTTTCAGCAAAGCCATCAGGCAGGGCTACCCAAGTTTTTGGGGGCTGAACCACCACCCTAGTGTGCTTGAAAAGTGGGACATAAGATCAATGATGAGAATCCTTAAGCCTTAAGATTTAATGTTGCTTGCCCTGTTAGATTTTGGATTTACTTAGAACCTGTTACTTCGTTCCTCTTTCCTAGTTCTGCCTTTGGGAATGTGAATGCCTATCCCACCAGTGTCTTTTGAAAGCACATAATTTGTTTGACTTCACAGGCTTTCCTCTGAAGGAAAATTTGCCTCAGCATGAATTGTGCCCTGAGTCTCACCTATATTTGATTTAGATGAGACTTTGTGCTTAGAATTTAATGTTGGAATGAGTTAAGACCCATTGGGGTGGAATGAAAGTATTTTGTATGGGAGAGGAACATAAATCTTGAGGAGCAGGAGAAGAATGCTATAGTTTGAAAGTGTTCTCTCCAAAATCCATGTGTTGTCAATGTGATAGTATTGGCAGGCAGGGCCTAATGCCCTGATGACACTTCCTCCGTGAATGGGATTAGGTTCCCTTACAAAGGGGCTTCAGAGAGGGAGTTGGTCTTCTCTTGCCCTTTTTCCTTCTACCATGTGAGACTGCAGGAAGAAAGCCCTCACCAGATGCTGGCACACTGATCTTGGAAACCCCAGCCTCCAGAATTGTGAGAAATAAATTTCTGTTTCATTATAAATTACCTAGTCTGTAGCATTTTGGTATCAGCACAAAATGAACTAAGACAGCAATGAATGTATTGCTTTATTTGCATAAGGAAACAATGTTAAAAAATAACAACAATAAGGAAGGAGGCCACCTTGGAAAAAGCATGAAATCAGGTATTAAGACTGAATGATTCAGAATGTTTAAGTTAAAGTGATCTGAGGGGTAAGTCCAAATGATGTGGTTTGGATCCATGTCCCCACCCAAATCTCATGTCAAATTTTAATCCCCAATGTTGGAAGTGGGACCTGGTTAGAGGTGATTGAATCGTGGGGTAGATCCTTCATGAATGGTTTAGCACTATCCTCTTGGTGCTGTTGTCATGACAGTGAGTGAGTTCTTGCAAGATCTGGTTGTTTAAACGTGTGTAGCACCTCCTCCCTCTCTCTTATGCTCCTTCTCTGACCATGAGAAGTGCTGCTTCCCCCTCACTTTCCGCCATGATTGTAAGTTTCCTGTGGGCTTCCAAGAAGCCAAATAGATACCAGCATCATGCTTTCTGTACAGCATGTGGAGTTGTGAGGCCATTAAACATCTTTCTTTATAAGTTACTCAGTCTCAGATATTTCTTTATAGCAATGCAAGAATGACCCAATACACTAAGCTTTCACTTTATACATATGGACTTCATGGATCAAAAATAAAATAAGTAATTCAAACATGGTTACCTGGCAGGTCTTACAGATCTATGACTACAGCCCACTACAGCAAATGTAATACTACAGGATGGAAAAGGGGACATTTACTCTTGAATCTGTGTTACTATAACAGGTCATTCAAGCTACTTTCATAGTACTTTCCATATATTAGCTAATCTGTTGAGGTTAGAAGGAATCAAACTTTCCATGGATATCTTATCTGCCTCAATCACAATTTCATATAATATAGATATATAGATAAATTTTTATAAGATCTAAGTTTTTTTTAAATAGATACCAATGAGATGAGTAAGTCCTATAGCTGAAGCAGAGCAGTTATAAACCTGTGCTATGTATTAACTTCTAATATATTTCCCATTCTCTTGCCTTCAAAAAAAATCAAAGGTTAAGCTGGAAGCACCAGTTAGAGAACAGTGGCTCAAATAACCTTCTTCCATATCAAAGAGTGACTCATTAAAACTTTTGTCAATTTGCTCCTTCAAGGGAATTGACTGAGCGCACAGGAGTTCTTATAAAATCATACTCAAGTGTAAGTGTGATGGTAGACTTCTGGAAGGATTACAGTCAACTTGATACTACAAGGGAATCTCCAATCCCACCTCATTAGGATGACTTTTCTGCAGACTGGTATGTATATAATGAACCAACTAAAATCAGTTACATATTTTCTGTGTTCAGTTGAGTATGTAAAGAAATATAACTTGAAGCCTGTATCAACAAGAGCCAGTGAGGCAAAAAAGTAGTTTAACAGAAAAAACAAAACAAAACAAAACAAAAAAACAAATATTGGCAACTAGCTTAAAAAGAGAGTTGAAAGGTAAGTGAGGGGACAGGAGGGCAATTCAGAGATGAACAATAACAGACAACATCTACTGTCAGAGGAATTTGAACCAGAGTGAATCCATCTTGAATCAGGGCTAGGTAAAATAAGGTTCAGACCTACTGGGCTGCATTCCCAGGAGGTTAGGAATTCTTAGTCATAGGATGAGATAGGAGCATAAGATAAAGGTCACAAAGACCTTGCAGATAAAACAGCATGCAGTAAAGAAGCCAGCCAAAACCCACGAAAACCAAGATGCTGATGAAAGTGACTTCTGTTCTTCCTCACTGCTCATTATATGTTAATTATAATACATTAGCATGCTAAAACACACTCCCACCAGTGCCATGACAGTTTACAAATGCCATGGCAATGTCAGGAAGTTACCCTATATGGTCTAAGTTTACAAATGCCATGGCAATGTCAGGAAGTTACCCTATATGGTCTAAAAAGAGGAGGAAACCTCAGTTCTGGGAATTGCCCATCCCGTTCCCAAAATACTCATGAATAATCCACACTTGTTTAGCATATAATAAAGAAATAACTATAAGTATACTCAGTTGAGCAGCCCATAACGCTGCGCCTGCTCTGCATATGGAGCAGACATTCATTATTCCTTTACTTTTTTAATCAATTTGATTTCACTTCACTCTGTGGACTCATCCCAAATTCTTCCCTGCGCAAGGTTCAAAAACCCTCTCTTGGGGTCTGGATCAGGACCCCTTTCTGGTAACACTAGGATGAAGTAGTCAGAGGAAAGAGGTTTTTCCTAGAGACCAGGAGCTGGCCTCTCCAGGTAGTTGCTAAAACCACTTCAAGGACAACCTGCCAGGAGCTGGAACCATAAAAGAGACAGTCACACAAGACATTGCCTGACGCACAGAGAGAGAGATAAATATCTTGGTTTGTCTCCTACTCTCACCCTCAAGTCTACCCAATAATTACTGGCTGAAACTACCCTCAAGTCAATGAAAAATGTACTTTTTATGAGTTTTTCTCTTGCATTCCAGTTATCTATTGCTATGTAGCAAACTACCTAAATACATAGTGCTGTAAAACCACAACCATTGCATTATGCTTACAGAGAGGTGTGGTAACTATGGCTTGTCTGCTTCATGGTGTATGGGGCCTCAGCTAGGCTAACTGTAAAGGCTGTGGCTGGAGGATAGTCTTTCAACATAACATCTTCATGCACAGATCTGTGCCTGCATTGTGATAACCAAAGGACCAACACAGCAAGGACTATCAACTGAAATACCTGCAGGTGGCTGCTGCAGCATTGTGGTGTCAGGTTGGCCGAATTTTAAACACAGTATTTCAGGGCACCAAGAGTGAATCTGACCAGCAAACAAGGCTAAGTCTACATGGTCTTTTATGATACACTGTTGGAAGCAGATTGTGGTTTTCCAGCTCTGTGTTTTTGGTAATAAGTTATCACTTTTGCTGTATTCTGTTAATCAAAGCAATCACAAGCCCACCTAGATTCAATGCAAGGGGGAATGTAGATTGCCTCCAAATGAGGATATAAAAGAACACATAGACATATTTTAAAACAAATTATTCTAGTCACAAAGAAAAATAAAATTCAAAAACTAGAACAAAATTCAAATAAGAATGCAAGGACTAAGAAAAAAATACTAGAAAAGAGTACAACAATGTACATCACAATGGACCTTGAATTATGGCCAAAAAGTAGCACAGGCAATGAATGTTTCATGAGATCTGCAGAGAAAAATCACTGAAAAAAGTTAAGCATGGCTTCCAAAAAGCATTATCCAGTTTCCCTAAAAATAAAGTAGAAAATTATAGGGAAACCCTCTATTTCCCCCAGACTTTAAAAGAGCAGGTCATATAGAAGTTAGGTACAAACCTGGGTGAATTCTGAACTTTTGCAGGTTAGTCGTTCTGTTTACCTAACATACATGCAATTTTATCTTCAGAAGTAGCAATCTGCACTAATAGTTTGATTTTATCCTTAATATGAAACTACATCTTTTTTCTCCAGGTGTGCAGAACACAAATTGTTATGCAAACATGAAGCTCTCTTGCTTTCTCCTGGCCTATACTCTGTACTCTTGATATTGGTTCTTTCTTGTTCTTCCCTCCTCCTTTTCCTTCTCTCCTTCAATCAACACAAGTCCTGCCTTGCAGCCCTTTTAGTTTTTTGGCTTACTTTGTGTTCTTAGCCTCAAATTCCAGTGGAACCTCTTAGCCTAAAGCAGCTATTACAGTTTTTGTAGGATGTGGTGAGTCCAGCAGTCTTCAGTTACCACTTGTAGACCTCCAGACCTCTCTGTGGTGAGGGGAGGGGGACCCAGGCCATTCTCTGCCTGGGATAGATGACTAAAGAAAAGCACATGACCCAAATTAGCAAAGGAAGAAGCAGAACACATGGAAAGAATTTTCTTCAAACAAATAAAAGTTTTTTTGGACTCTTCTTTTATGATTCAACTCTTCTGTTGTTCAGCTAGAAGTTGGAGTCATGGAAAAGGGAGAAATGGCTGGTGAGTGGATGAGAAAAACTTAGAAACTGAAATTGATCACCTTTGCATGAAGAAGATAAAAAATTAATTCATATTCAAGAGGTATATTCACATAGGTTTATCATGGAATTATATACAATTAAATAACCCCCATGCCCTCTGTTCCATTTGGGTTTCTATTTTGGTTAGCGCGAAAACACTCATGACCACAAGACTCTTATTTTATGTGCAAACAGAAGGCTCTAGTGAGTGTTCATTTGTCCTCTGATTAACAACTACACAGAAATAGAGTAATAAGCCTTGCTATGAAGCAGCTTTCCACTCCATTATATATTGAAGGAAAATGGCAAATCTGAAAGCCTGCTACTAACCACCACAGTGAATTAGGAGAGGATGAAGGCTGGCATTAAGCGATTCCTTTAAATTCAGTAATATTTGACAGGTCTCAGCTGTTGGGAATAGCTGTGAACTAAATTATTGAAAAAAAAGAAAAGAAATGATTTCCAAGTGATCATGTGACTTAAAGAAACTAGACAAAGTTCAGCCCACATTCAGCTGTCAGAAACACACCCTCCACACAGGGAATAAAGTGTGTAAATTCTAACTCTTTACATCTGAAGACTCCTGCTTCTCATCTAAAAGTATTTCAACCCAGTTCCTATGCCTTAATGCTCAGGGTGGGTGTCACGGTGGGTGGCTCTCTGGGGTGCTTTCTTCATGAGACCAGTTAGAATAAAGAGGAAACAGGGCCACTGTTTTAACTCATTGGCTTTGGCTTTGAATATATGCTTTCCACTTTTTAATTTTCATTTTATATTCTCTTCGCAGCAATAACCACATTTATTTAAATGTTCATTCCATTTGAGTAAGAGTTTCTTTGAATAAGAGCCATCTGTTTTGTTTAATCTGAGGATGGGTATTTTGTACCTATTCCTCTCTAGATAGAGTATTAGGAAGCCCATGTGTTGAGTCAGACCGTGAACTACCAATTCCTCTGTGTAATAATAAGCAAGGATAGCAAAACTTAGCTCAGCGAATCAAATGTGCAACACCCACTATCACATTGAGTAGCAGAGGAGAGATACCACAAAACTCTAACAGAGTATCATAAATGTCATGAAGAAAATGATCTCCAGAGGCATTTTCATAATACATAAATTCAGACAAGTTTATTAGAGCCAAAGACATTTACTTGATTTGACGTTGCTGCACTGGTCCCTAAGGACAAATTAGACTCATAAATTCTGAGTGTCCTGAAAACACATGGTACTCTCCTGCCACAAGCACACTTTATTTTGCAGAGAATCGTTTGTGGACTCATAGCAGCACCATCACCGGATTGGAAATGCTTTGCTTAACTATTCAGCAAGGTTTCCAGAAGATTCTGTGACCTGGGTGTCCATTAAAGTTAGAGAAGCTTTGGCATAAGAAATGCCCTCCAAATTTGCTGTCTGGAGGTGAAATATAAATAAGTCCCCCACCTGCTGTTTAAAGAAAGGGTCTGCTCACCTGTTAGAAGGCAAGCTGTAGACTAGAACAGACAGTGTTACATAAACCAAGGCCCCCTGTTAATAGTCACTTTGGAAATTCCCAAACTGTGAGTTGGATTAGTCCAGAAGCTGTGGTTACCAGGCAAGTTGAGGTCCCAAACCACCTCAGAAAGATTCCAAAAACACACTCTGTGTCACTGTTTCAAAACAAAGCTAGTAATATTTTAATCCCCTCACCACAAGGGCATGTCTAATATAGCTTGTCATGAGGCCAGTGACTTAGAGAAAGGAATCTGGATTTCCCCAGTTCTATCAGCTCTTTGATATTGAAAAAATAAACTAAAATCTGTATCAGAACTGGAAGCAAAGGCAAGCAGTTCAAGCAGATCACAGGCCTGCCTCCAGCACTAATGATAGTTCAAGATCATTCTACGGGTTTTTAATGTTAGGCCTTCTAGCTTGTTCACTTGATGATATCACCGCATGCTTTGAAAATCCTTTTAAAAATTACCATTATTCTTTCATGGAAAAAAACAAACAGAGCCGAAAATGATCCTTTTCCAAGGGATTTGAGGACTTTTAAACCCTGACTTCAGATTCATAAGTACCATGCTTTTCCTTGTGCCTTTGGATCAGAAATATTAAAATTCTTCTCCAGAGACATTTTTCATTTTGTCTGTAGCAGTTTTATATTAAGAAATTAATGTTTGTGGCAAAGACTGAGACTGTGATAATGCCACAGGTAAATCAAGAAGGCCCTATCAGTGGTGATGAAGAAGGTTGACACTAATTTGTTTTTTTTCTGATAAGCAGCACCAGAAATCAGGAAGAATAGCATTCATGACCTCGCCTGAGTGTTTGCCCTGTGTGTAACTGGTCCTCAGGGTTGACTCACAAATGGAGCAATGACTTGGACTTGACTCTCTGGGTCTTCACTGTACCTTACTCTTACTCTGGCCTGATTATTCTGGTATTCTGGCCTCAGTGTGCTTGCTCCTCACACTTTGGTGACAGTGGTTCTTTGACCACAGTCAGGGAGAGCTCCCTCTTTCATCTTCAGGTCCCCTTTTATGGAAATTAGTTTTGGCTTCCATTCTTAAAGGATTTACCATAATTTTTCCTTTTAGTATTAAGAAATGTTTTAACAACCAGTGGTTTGAGTGTCTGAATCCACTCTCCAAAACAACCAACTCATTGCCTTCTGATTTAGTTTCTAGTTATTGAATTTGGCCTGCTGTACTTCCGTTCCACCTAAAGTGACCAACTCATTATGCTTGCCACTGAATGTCCTGCGTCCCGAGAAGCCCCTCAGTCCCAGGCAAACCAGGACTTTAGGTCACCCTGAATACTCCTCCTCTTTTATCACTGTCTACTCCAACCCATATCTCTAATCTCCACTAACAAATACACACACTCTTTCTATGCACCACGGTGTCCATAATGTGTTGGCTCTCTCTTTCTTTTCCTTCCTCTCTCCCTCTTTCTCCCTACACTTTCTTTCTCTTTTCATTTTCCATTTTATTTGTTAACCTTTTCTCTATCCCCAGGAAACAGAGTGTGAAGGGGGTAAAGAGAGAGAAAAGTATGAAAACATTTATATGCAAGCTACATTAATATTGCCAAGAATAAGGTAATGTCGGGAGTATAATCGAAGTTATAAAAAAAGGACTAACGTGTCTCACCAATCATAGTGGTATATTTTGCAGCAGATAAGATATAAAAAATTTTACTGGGGATAAGGCTGAGGGTGGAGGAGGGGATATGTAAGTGTGATTTTTTTTTAATATTTGATCTAGGAGAATTTATACATGTTCTCATTTCATCTCCAGATAACAAAAATGAGGTACGTGTTTATAAAAATTTAAAGATGAGAACTTTGAGCTGCAAGAAAATTAAATAGTTTGCTGACGGCCATCAAGCTAAAAAATGGAAGAACTGGAATTTTGGAACTAGATCTCTTAAAGAGTTACTAGTTTTATTCAGAAGATAGAGGAAAGAAGACATGAACAATTATGCATATGGAAAGTATTTGGTAAATTTCCAGGTAGGTGAATCAATTCCGTTAATCTAGATGTCACAAGAGGAACTGATTTGCAGATCAGCTGGCAGAATGAAGGACTAGGTGTCGTGAGAGCCATATCTGCCTGAGTAGATTGGGGTGCAGTGGCATGGAAATGACATGGTCGGAAGCGTAGACACTTCCTAGAAAAAGGACTCGTGAGAGAAGAAACGTATCCGTGATTGTCAATTTCAGGACCATCACTGATGTGAGTTGACAGCATCCTTCCACACAGGGAAGAGGAAAAAGAGGTGGGATGCAGCACCTTTAAAAAAATTGTTAGATTCCTTGAATAAGATTAAAAAAAGAAGAAGCCATTGATGTGAATCTGTTAAAGTCTGGCAAGTTAAATATATCTCTGGAGAAGTATTAAACATGACATTGCATGTTTAACTTTAATAAGAAAAATATTTGTAAAAATGTAACAAATTAAGCTGTGACTATTGGGATTAGTAAAAAGACCAAATATTATGGTTTGAATGTGTCCCCTATAAAATGTAGGTGTTGAAACTTAATGGTCAACGTGATGATATTAAACGGTGGCCCCTTTAAGAGGTGATTCAGTCATGAGGACTCCTTCTCTCATGAATGGGATTATGACCCTTACAAAAGAGGCTTCACGCAGTGTTCTGTTCGCTTACCCTGCAGCTATTCTGCCATGTGAGGACAGAGCCTTCCTGCTATTGGGAGGATGCAGCAACAAGGTGTCATCTTGGAAGCAGGGATCAGCCCTCACCAGAAAACCAAATCTGCCACCACCTTGAACTTAGACTTCCCAGCCTTGAGAACTGTGAGAATATAAATTTCTCTTCTTTATAAATTACCCAGCCTACAGTATTTTGTTGTAGTAGTATGATGGACTAAAACACCAAATAGTTGGAAAAATGTAATTTGAAATGTATAAATATATTAAAGTGTATTCCAAAACCCAAATGAAATATACCAAATTTATATAGCAGAATATCTCCTTGGCTTTTCTTCAAGGAATCTATTTTAAGAGACTTATATCTATCCTAATCATAAATATATATCTGCTGAACTTCTTTGTTCTCTGGTCTAAACAAAGGTATGGATCCAGGGGTGAGAGGCATGGCAGAAGTATAAATTGTACAATCTAGTTAGGAAATCAGAACATACATAGGAAACCAATAGAGAACAGAGTAATACATACGGAACCTAAATATACTACTTAGGAAGTTGGACTCTCAAGAGAGAAAAGAAAAGATTGATACAGTATTCTAAAAAATCTTGGCACTTGAAGAAAGTCTGATTTTCTTAAATATTGTAATTTTCTTAAATATTGTAAGCAAGTCCTCAACAATATTGTATGAACTGTTATAGAAAAATAATAATAAAATTTGAGTTCTAATTACCTGCCAAGAGTCGTGCTAAGGGTTTTATATGCATTATTTAACTTACTTTTTCCAACGGTTCTAGAAAAGTTTGTCATTACATCCCTATCTTTAAAGGAGACAAAATTTAGGAAGTGATAAGTTAAGAGTTGAGAGATAGGGGCTAACTTGTCCAAGACTGACCCCTGCAGCCTGGCTTCTCAGAAAGGGAATTTTCCTTCTGCAATGTTCTGTGGGAAACCCACTCTGAGCAATCTTTAAGCCAATCAATACTGAGCAACATTGAAGCTTGAACCCCAACTCTTCCTCCTCCCACCCTCAATATGCCAGAGGAGAGGTTTATGCTTCAAGAACCAAGAACACCAGTGTTGTTGCTAGCTTACTAACAAGAACACCTCTCTGCTAGTTCACCACGTAATCCACCTGCAATTTCAACTTCTGGAATCATGAAAGCAGGACAGGAACTTGTGCCTCCCTCCACTGCCAGTCATCACTACTAAGCTGGTAGAAGAGGGGCGCAGTTTCTGCCACATCATTTTGCTATCATATCCTGGTCCCTGATAACACCAGGAGAAGGCCAGTGCTTCCCTAACCATGCAGCTTCAGAGCTCCATGGCCCAAGGGTCAGAATCACTCTTGCAAAGTCAGAAATCAGGGTTTTCCAAATCTTAGGTTACTGCCTCAACACAATGAGGCTACCAGGGGATATGAATACCTACTACTGATCCTAGGGCGGTGAGTTTGTCCAGTGAGTGCTGCTCCTGCAGACCTGTATGTGAGCACTTCTGAGTTTTTGCTCTTGTTTGTGCTGTTGTCACTTACCCAAAGTCTCACCTTCAGTAATGTCACATCCAAGGGGCAAATATTCCAAATTGATGGTGATTAAATGAATTAGTGAATATAATCCAGATTGTTGTTATCAATGAGTTGATAATAAATATTGTCGTCGAGCTGACATCATTTACATTATTTACATAAACGTCTAAAGGCAGTCTAAGATATTTTCAACATGTCTTTACAAACAGAATCTGTGATTTAAATGTGAAAAACTATTTTAAAATGCCATGATGTGTGGAACTGAGGGCTAAGATTATGTATACTTTTAAAACATGATCAGACCAAATAAAGGTTCAATGTAATGCCACAGTTCTACATGGGGAACCTTCTCCTGAATTTCAGTAGTGCTGAACATAAGGACATCATGACCAGATAAATCTGCCTTCATAAAGCTTAACATCTAGTGACAGTTCTTAGATGATAAACAAATGGTTCCAATCTAGGGTGCTATGTGGTAAGAAAGGAGTGGTTCTGCATGCCTTGAGGACAGAGAAACAGTTTAATCTAGACTTGTGGGGTCAGGAAGCGCAGGTGAAAAAATCAGGGGCTCCTCACCTAGTGCCATGCAGTTGGATTAAGAAAAATATTACATCTTTATTTTCAATAACTAACTAAAACTTAACATTTCCTTCTGTAATGACTGTAGGCAACAAACCACAGTAGCAGCAGAATATGTGATCACAGAATAGAAATTATAGATATTTTCACACCACATCACAACTATAGGAAATATATCTAAACATCATTTATGCTTATTATCACGTTGAAATTAGAGAGGTTATTAGTTCCACCACTACATGTTGTCACTTAAAACATTAATAAAGATGTTCATATATCAAATTTTATTTCCTCTAGTATTTTGATAGGTTTATTTCAATAGGACCTGTTCCCTTTGCTTAGTTTCTTTATTTTATGCATTTAGAACACTACATTGGGAAGGATTCATCATCATGACCAGATGTCACATGGGTCTATGATGCCAAAAAAGGAAGATCCCTGGAGAACAGTAGGTAGATGCTTGGAAGACCGGGTAACCCATGGGATTGCAAGTGGAGGTGGGGAGAGAGAGGTTGCCTGTTTATAAGAAACAAATAAGTGGTGTTCCAGGCAGAGGGAACAGAGTGTGCAACACCAGAGCAGCGAGCACTGGGAGAGACAAATGTCCCGAGTCTCTGGATCCTGCCAGAGAGGAAGAGCTTGGAGGGAAGCAATGTGGTTAAGAGACGCAAGACAAATTATAAATCATGCTGCTATAAAGACACATGCACACGTATGTTTATTGCGGCACTATTCACAATAGCAAAGACTTGGAACCAACCCAAATGTCCAACAACGATAGACTGGATTAAGAAAATGTGGCACATATACACCATGGAATACTATGCAGTCATAAAAAATGATGAGTTCGTGTCCTTTGTAGGGACATGGATGAAATTGGAAACCATCATTCTCAGCAAACTATCACAAGGACAAAAAAACCAAACACCACATGTTCTCACTTAGATGGGAATTGAGCAATGAGAACACATGGACACAGGAAGGGGAACATCACACTCCGGGGACTGTTGTGGGGTGGGGGGAGGGGGGAGGGATAGCATTAGGAGATATACCTAATGCTAAATGATGAGTTAATGGGTGCAGCACACCAGCATGGCACATGTATACATATGTAACAAACCTGCACATTGTACACATGTACCCTAAAACTTAAAGTACAATAATAATAAAATTTAAAAAAAAGAAAAAAAATTAAAAAAAAAAAAGAGACGCAAGACAAGCAAGGAACAGGTCTGTAAGCTCTGAAGAGGCATGCGGAGAAATGTAAATTTCATCTTAAGACACTGGGTGGTGAATAAAACTTTTGAAGCAAAATTTTCAAAATTATTTATTCCTCAATTTAAAAAAAATTGTTCTTTCCAAATAACTTTTTTTCTCAATCTTATTTCCTCAATATTTGAAATGATCCTGTGGTGTAGAGTCACACATTTTCTTATACTACATACAGATGGACAGAGATAACAGAGCATTTTAAGTGATTGCTTTTACAATTGGTTTGATCTTTCTTATGTACAAAAGTCAACTTAAACGTGATGTGAATGTCATATCTTCTTTTTCTCTAATTTTACAGCTGCTCCTATTTGGCCATTCTGTGTTCCATCTCCCTCTCTTCTCCCCCCAACAGAGGGAGAGCTCTTGTGTTCCATCTTGACATGAGGACATGTGTGTGTTGGCAGGAGAGGGTCCTGTGATGATGTCTGGCTATCCAGGAGCTACTATGGCAATAAGGTCTTGTATCTGCCTTTTCATTGCTTGCCTGGCTAGCATTACTGTGATAGTTAACTGCTCCTGACTGTGATCCATGCTTTCTAAGCCTAGTCAAAGAATGATGTTCCCTCCTGCTGACTTAGATCTTTCTTGGCTTTTGCTGGCAACCTTCCCACAGATGCCTGACCATGATTCTTGCCCAATTTTAGCCAGGCAGTAAACCCTGAAACTCTTGGCTACAGAGGTTTCTATTCCTACACCATGATGTTCCTCCTCTCTAGTTGTCATCGGCAATGGCTTCCACTCCATAATGAGACAAGCCGGAAATTGCAGCTGCTACTCCATCATGCCTGTTCTCTCTCTCTCTTTCTCTCTCTCTCCTCTCTCTCTCTCTCTCTCTCTCTCTCACACACACACACACACACACACACACACACACACACAGAGCAGGTCACATTGCTAATAATATATATCACCCTGTTACTGGGATATCCTGAGAGGCAGTGTATTCCCAAAATCCCAAACAGGAAAAACAGTAACTGCACTTGTTTTCTTTCCCTTAACTGATTGACAAAGACACCCTACAAGATTTGAGAGAGGAATGTAAAGGCACTGCATGAATCTGACCTGCTGCTCTCCCTCCTCATTGATTCCCTTCTCTTTCCGACAATCCACACAGGCAGAAGTTCTGGGATGTTCCCATCCTATTCCTTTCTGGCTGGCATTTCCCCTGTCATACCCTCCTTCCCACTGGCATACTAAAGTTCAAGGCTTAACCTAACTAGTGAAACAACCTATGATTTAGGTAAACCAGACATGACCTCAGTACAGAATTGTCAGACACCTTAGGAATAAGGCAATTGGAGGATGATAGCTCATTAGTTAATATTCTAAAAATAATACTCTCAGATCATCATTTTTCCTTGAAAATCATTTCTTTCAGTATGCTGCGCAGAATGACCTTAGACTCCCAATGAGCCTAGTCTCCCAACGAGTGAGAGCAGAGAGCCTCAAACATCTTTGTGTCTTGTCCTGGATGGAGATTCCTGCTCAAGCCACTGGCTCAATGGTCCAATCTTTGAGGAGATAGAATTTAAGCAGGCAGATCTGTACACTTTTACATGACACCCATCACCTCTCCTCTCGTGTGTCTCTTTTTCCCCCTCCTCTTTTTCTCTATTTCCCTTTTCTGTTTCTCCAAACCCCTCAGTTAACCCTTTCCCTGCCCCCTAGTCCTTGTCCACACAGAAAATCTGGTTCTAGAGAACAGTACTCAAACAGCCTCCAACTAAAATGCATTACGTGTGGTAATGCAAAAAATTATTAGAACAGTTTTTTTCTATTTAAAATATGACTCCTGTTCACTGCTTTGGTTTCCCTGTCTTTGTGCTTCAGGCTAAATATTACTCAGATTTCTGCGAGGCCAGGTGCTTTCTCACCAATTATCTGAAAGGCCCAGAGAATGGTACTTACATCAAAGCCAGTCCTAATGACAAAGGACACCTGGCCACGGCAAACACAAGCATCTCTCAGCTCCTCGCTCCATTTGGCAAAAAGCTATTTCCATCTCAGTCACAACATAACAAAGGACTAATTGATGGGAGCATTTTTTCCATCTTTCAAAAAATAAATTGAGCCAACCCCACGAGCTCATCTAGAGGAATTAATTAGGGAATAGGAAATCTCCAAAGCCATCCTTAAATTGACATTGAACAAAGCCCAGGGAACAGATGGCTTTTCATCTGAATTCTTTAAAACCTTTAGCACTCTACTAATTCCCCTATAGGAATGAAAAAAAATTGCTAAATGAATTTGAGCAAACTATTTCACCAGGTGTTCAGTTCCCCTAAGATTCCTTTTGCACTAAGAAAAAAAGAAAATACAACAGGTATCCTCTCTACTGATATTACTATAATTTCATTTGTACATGTGAGTTCTTCCCCCAGGGCTCATTCTAAACTTCCCCTGCATTTCTGACTACCAAGCTGGGGGAATGATTCTCTTAATTGGTGCAGCTGATCATGCACAACTGCTCAGAGCACAAGGACAGTGTCAACACACACAAAGTCGAGAATGAGGCCATTGTTCAAGCAAAATAGAAAAATAGAAAACAATTTTTGTCATTTTGTTTCAGATATCTGGAGATTTCTGGGGCAAGAGATGGAGAGGATAAACTGTATTATCCCAATAGTTGAGTAGATTTTTTTTCCCCGTACAAATTTGACATGTAGAAACATTGTGAATAAGAGAGACATTGCCTCTCATTTGCATAGTTAATAAGAAGCTGTCCTATTAAAGCCTCTAGAAGGATGAACTGCTGGAATTTATACTTTATCTATTCAAAGGATGTCTACATACAATCCTCCAAGATAATTTGGTAGAAAATTTTAAAACACTTTTTTCTTTTTAAAATTTGACAGATAAAATTGTATATACATACTATGTACAACAGGATGTTTTAAAATATATGGACATTGTAGGATAGCTAAATTAAGCTAATTAATATGCACATTACCTTACATAGTTGTTATTTTTGTAATAAGCATATTTAAAATCTACTCTCTTAGCATTTTTCAAGAATATAATACATTGTGATGAACTATACCTCCATGTTGTAGAATAGAGCTCTTAAAAATATTCTTCTTATTTAACTGAAGTTTTGTAACTTTTTACCAACAGGTCCCCATTACCTTCCTCTAGCGCCCCAGCCCCTAGAAACCATCACTGCACTCTCTGCTTCTATGAGATCAACGTTTTTAGACTCCACATGGGAGCGAGATCATGTGGTATTTGTCACATGCCTGGCCTATTTTACATAATGTCCTCTAGGTTCACCCATGTTGTCACGAATGGCAGGATTTCCTTCTCTTTTATAGGTGAATTGTATGCCATTGCGTATATATGCTACGTTTTCTTTATCCAGTCATCTGTTGATAGACACTTGGGCTGATTCCACATTTTGGCTATTGTGAATAGTGCTGCAATTAACAGGATAAATAAAATAATATAATAAATAAATAAAATAATATAATAAATAAAATAAGGAAATTGGTATGTCCAAGAGTGCGGATGTCTCTTGGACATACAAATTTCCTTTCCTTTGGATGTGTATCAAATAGTGAGGTGGCTGGCCCATATGATAATTTTATTTTTAAGCTCTTTGGGAATCTCCATACAGTTTTCTATAATGGCTGTACTAACTTACATTCCCACCAACAGTGTGCAAGTGTTTCCTTTTCTCACCTCTTGCCAACACTTGTTATCTTTTGTTGTTTTCTTTTGAAGACACGGTCTTGCTCTGTGGCCCAGGCTAGAGTGCAGTGGTTCAATCATGGCTCAAGCAGTACTCCAGCCTCAACCTCCAGAGCCGCCAGGACTACAGTAAGACGTGGTCTCACCATGTTGTTCAGGCTGCTGGTCTCTAACAACTGGGCTCAAGTGATCCTCCCATCTCAGCCTCCCAAAGTGCTAAGATTATAGTTGTGAGCCACTATGCCCGGCCTTTGTCTTTTTGATAATAGCCATTCTGACAGGTGTGAGATGATATTTTGTTGTTATTTTAATTGGCATTTCCCTGATAATTAATGATATTGAGCATTGTTCATATACTTTAAAACAGTTTTTCATTTATGATACATTTTGTTTTACATTTTAGACTGAATAATTTTATTTGGGATTCTGATATTTCACTAGAATATTTGAACATTCCAGTATACATTCCTTCATTTTAAACAATTTCCTTTAAACGCAGTTTGTACCCATAGCCTGAAACCATGCAATCAGGAAGGGTCTAAGGGGCCAAGGAGACTCTAAGATAACAGATGTCTTATGTGTGTAAATTCCGATACATGAATTAAAACATGCACTGAGGTCTGACCATGATGGCTCACACCTGTAATCCCAGCACATTGGGAGGCCAAGGTGGGAGGTTCACTTGAGGCCAGGAGTTCAAGACAAGCCTGAGCAACATAGCAAGGCCTCATCTTTACAAAAAATAAAAGAAATTAGGCAGGCGTGGTGGCATGTGCCTACAGTCCCGGCTCCTCAGGAGGCTGAGGCTAGAAGATCGCTTGAACCTGGAAGGTCAAAACTGCAGTGAGCCATGATCATGTCACTGATCTCAAGCCTGGGCCACAGAGTGAGACTCTGTTTCATATGAATAAATAAATAATAAAAATTAAAAACAAAAAAAACATGCTCTGAGTAATTCTGTGGTGGGGGTAGTGAAGGAAAAGTAAGCCCCTAAAGGAAAGCCTCTAAATCCATCAGCAAAATGGAGAAGGGTATTTTGGTTTCCAACGCTCAATCTCAACCCCAGGCCACTCCAAGAGCTGACTGAAAGACTCAATCCTGTATTGACAACAGCTGACTGGTCACTTTCTTTTCACCTTCCAGCCACCTGCCCATCAGAGCTACTACGACAGCCTTTGTCTTCACGACACACAACCTGGCACACAATCTTCCCAATCAACTGTACTCTAGACAAAGCTCTGACCATAAAGGTGTTCACTTTTATCACAACAGACCTACGGCAATTTTAGAGCCAGGAGTCTTTTATTCTAAAAGTAAGGCTATTAAGTGAAACTACTGGAAGCAGAAGTTGCACTAAAATTCAATAAATGGATACAGTTACACGTATACACATATATACTCAACCTATTGATTATACTACTTCTTCATTCAATAAACAGTCATCACTCTGCCAGGAGTTAGGGAAAAATTAGTGAGTAAAATAGAAATAATCTATGTCTTCTTAAGAGTTCTATGCTGCTTTGGGAGAGACAGTCAAATACCTCCACATGTATGTAATTATGAACTATAATAAATTATATGAGGATTAAAGGATAAGACAATATATAAAAGTAGAAACCAGTGTAGGCTGGAATGTCAAGAAAAACTTCCCTGAAAAATAAACTTTCGGACTGATATCAGAAAAAAATGAGTTGCCATTAACTGTTGTGAAAGTGATACAGGGTAGAACCCAAACCAGTGAGGGGAAACAGCGCGGGCAATGGCTCTGAGACAGGATCAAGCTGAATATCCTGTAGGAATTGAAAGAAATTTATGGGACTGAAAGGAATTCAGCAAAGGTGAAGAATGACCCTGGAGGGGTTTAAGCCTGAAGGGCTTTGAGGGACAGTAGAAGTCTCTTGTCTTTGTTTGGGTTCCTCAGAAGCAGACCATGAGACAAAGGTTCCAGTTGGAGGTGATCCCAGGAAACACCAGAGAGATGTGATAGAGAAGGGAAGATCAAGAATGGGTGACCAAGCAAGTCACCACTGCGGGCACCTGAGCTTCCTCCAGCTGCCAGGGAATGGGGATCCGGTATAGGACACGTACCTCGGAAGTATCTCACCCAAGAGGCAAAGCAGGCCGTGTCTTTACTCATTGTTTCTCAGTACTCTTGGATTGAAGGGTACTGTGTAGGGGAGGGTGAAACATTAATTTCCCAGCACCTCACAACAGCATGCCTATAGTTGAGCAGACTATGCTCAGAGCTCACCACAGAAAACCCTCAGGCCCTGAGAAGCTGGGCCATTGAGCATCACAGGGGTGAGACGGAAGGGACCTGAGCAGGTCGCTCATGTCATCAGCTGCATCACGCCAGGTCCACTCTTTTGTTCTCCTTCCTGCTTTCAGAGCAGCATGAGTAACATCAGAAAGCAGCAGAATTTATATCTCCATTTTTATTGTATTCTTCACACCCTTCTACATTTATATAACGGTACTGCACTTTACTTGTGTCAGTACTAAAGTCTCAACTACACCTGTCTGCAGTAGGTAGGGTTTATCACTCCCATTTTACACACTGGAAAACTGGAAATTACTGAGGCAGGACAAACTGCTCAAGGCCATATATCTAAAGGACAAGCACTATGATTCAAATTCAAGGCATTAGTTCCCACAGTCATTTTTATTCCCACCATAGCATGGTGACACTAGTGACATATGACAAGAGAGTCTACAAATTCGATTAAATCTTAACCATACAATTGACTTAAGGATCCCTAGGAAAAAAAGGGGACCCCATTACTTAGTATTCCTAATTCTAAAATGTATCAGAATACATTTTGAATGATAAAACATAACAATAGAATAAAAATAAAAGGTATACCTTTCCTCCCTATTACATCAATATTTAATAGATTTTAAGTGACGAGTAAGCATATTAATTATGGAAAACAATGGAAGATAAGGAGAGGGGTCTAATATGGTTGAATTTAACACCATCTGAAAGTGGAGGACAAGTACATAAACCAACTCTCTTAGCATGAAGATAAATGTCACCAGGCAGGTCTTATTATATTTCTATTAGACCTAAGCTTCTAGTTCTTCTGCTTTATAGGTGAGAGTAAATGAGACTGAACTGGGAGAGAAGCATGGCTTTCTGAAATTCTGTCTATATATGAAAGGTTCACCAATTATCTCCAGATCAATTTCTGAAGCACATGTTTGGGAGGCCGAAAATAATTTCTCATGTGCAAGTATTGCAGGTCAAATGTCAGCTTCGGGGACAGAGGTTGTGTTTTATAGACGCATACTTTAATGTGATTCTCATACTCTGGTTTATGATTTGCCTTTTCAAAGTGAATATTTCCACTCTGTTGGCCAGAGCGCTGGTCTTACTGTTGATTATGTGTCAAGACTTGAACATCATCCCACATTGTCTGAAAACTGAGCTCTTCCATGGCTTTGCACTGTGCAGTGTGATGAGAATGTAAAGAATAACCTGGTCTGAGAATGCCCAGTATTAAAAAAGGAAGAAGAGAAACCTGTAAGTAAGAAAGCAGATTTTTCTGAGTGCCCATTTTCTGAAGGAATTTCTGCTGACTTTGCAGCCCAGCGCCCTAGTTCCCAATACGCCTAACTCCATTTCCTGCAATGCACCTTTTCTAGATAATTGTTGTCTCAGAAGGGTGGGAATGTATTTATTTTTCTCAATATGACAATATATTTCTTTCAAAGGAGATATTGCAATAATAAGGATTATTGCAGTTTCTTACAAGAGAAATGTTTGATGTTGGGGTAACATTTTTTATCATGCTTTGTTTGCATATACTCTAAATTGTGTAGCACAATCTATTTTCAGTATTCTCTCCACCTGGCAGTTAAAACTAATGTCAATGTGGTGGGAGGAAACTTGTACTCCTGATAAATTTCAAAAGCCTGTCCCCCTTCCTCAGGAACAGCCTATACCCATGTTAGAAATTCTAATTCCTTTTTAAATAGTTTTACTTTAATTTAAAGAAAGCTCAGGCATAGAATAAAATGCCCACTAATTATGGAATCTAAATTTCTCTATCAAACTCACATTGAGAATGTAAAATTGTATATTGGACCTATGAGACACGCAGATAGACAATTCCAGTATGGAATTTGCAGGCTACTTAATTTGAATTTATCAACAGTTTATTTATTTATCTTGTTAAATATAAAATAATTCCTTCTAGTGGTTCCTTTTCCTACTGTGCCTTTGACATATTTGAGAATATTAAGTGAAATGATATTTATTTATTTAGTTAATGATCTATTTATTTTATTTTGAGATGGAGTCTCGCTCTGTCGCCCAGACTGGAGTGCAATGGCACAATCTCAGCTCACTGCAACCTCTGCCTCCTGGGTTCAAGCAATTCTCCTGCCTCAGCCTCCAAAGTAGCTAGGATTACAGGCGCCCGCCACAATGCCAGGCTAATTTTTTGTATTTTTAGTAGAGATGGGGTTTCGCTATGTTGGCCAGGCTGTTCTCAAACTCCTGACCTTTGGTGATCCACCCTCCTCGGCTTCCCAAAGTGCTGTGATTACAGGCATGAGCCACCGCTCCCGGCCAGGATATTTATTTTAACTTGTCCCAGATCAGCAATACATTCTGACTCCATATTTGTTTTCTTCAAAGTTTGTAGTAGATATAATGTTTGAGGGTAGTTTCATTTGATTCTAACTAAATACACATCAGTTCCATTTAGTTAAGTGAAATTAGAGAACTGGCACTGGGGATAATGCCAAAAAAGTATTTAACAAATTATCCCCAGAGATGTTACTTGATCTCAGGTTCTTGTCCTACAAAAGACTAAAATGTTTTGTAAAGATATTATGTCCTAAATCCTTGCTATCACCTGCAATAGAGGAACTCCTCAGTGGTCCTAGGTGGTCTACTTTTTCCTTTTTATACTCTTGTCCATGCCATGTGTCACGAATGTACATATTACAGATAGAAATTCATAATGCTAAGAAAACAAAGATGACAGATGCTCTCATTTTGAAAATAAATAATAGTGCCTGCCATTTTTCAAATGTACTTTTACCTGTTTTGTGGGCAGATTGTTTTACAAAAAAAAACAAAAAACAAAAAAAACAATTACAGTTCTAGACATCCGTAGATATTTTGTGGTTTTGCCACTGGCCACAAACCACATTTAAAGAAAATTCTTGCGACTTTTACTGTCACTGATTTGGCGAGACTTTCAGCAAACAAATTGTTTCAGGACATTGACGTCAGTAAAGTATGGTGCGCTGGATGATGCGATATTTCTCTTATAAAGAGTACTCAACACATTGCTCACTCTTCAGTCAGAGTTGGTAAACATTTGTACTGTTCTTAGAGACAAAAGGACATACGAGCAAACTTTTAAAAATCGGAATTTTCAATATGATTATGGGCACTAACATTTTTCATTCATTGAAGATTTTAAGAAGAGGATATAAATTATTTTTAAATTGAAAGATATAAAACTCAAGCCTGTCTAAATGACTTCAAATTATTTAAAGTATTCACTGAAAGAAAATTAAGTTTGTAGAATTAAACTATTTTTCATTGAGCCAACTGTTATGTGATACTTAGAAATTTGTTTTCACATCTCTCATTTAATCCTGAAGTCCACCCTTCTGTAGATGTTATTACTTCTATTTTACAAATAAGGAAACTAAATGCCAGATAAAGATATTATATGTTAGAATAGTGGGTTTCCACAGTTACTTGCATATTAGAATCACCTGGAGAGCTTCAAAAATATTGATGCCTCCATCCTAGCCCCACAAATTATGGTTTATTTGGTCTAGAGTGTAACCAGGGCTTTGGAATTTTGAAGAGATTCCTAGCTGGCTCCACTGTAAAGATAAATTCAGAAAACCCTTGGTCACAAGCGAGAATCACGTACTCTTTTATGTGGAAGTTCTTAGAAGTTATTCATGTTCTACATTTCATTAAATGTAATCTAGGGTATTTATCAGAACAGTCTAAAATTTGAGAATACAGGACTACTATTCTCAATATCACACTTTCACAAGAGAGATTCTTTTCCTTCTGGCTTAGTGATCACCTACATGCCTACTACATAGTTTTGTCATTATATATGGTCACAATAATGTCTAAATTTGATGAGTACTTCCTCTGTGCCAGACTTGACTTTACAAGTGACTCTTCAAGTGTCCATAATGCTGTAAGGCAGTCTATTTACTCCTCTTGGATGTGGGGAACCTGAGACACAGACTGGTGCTGTAGCTTGCTAAAGGCCCCAGGGCTAGCAGAGTGGCAAAGACAAGATTCAGATCTAATCTGCCAGAATGTCTTGCCCATATTCCTGATCACCACACCGCCTAATACGACTTCCATATCTGTGGATGATAATGATAAAATATTTTCAGGTAGGAGTGACCTGCACAGCTAATAGTCAAGTGTTCTTGTAAAATCAATCACTGAGGCTATTTTGACTTTAATTTCTTTTCTAAGGCTCTGGCTTTCCTTCATTCTAGCTCAGAAACCATAACTGGGTGCCTGATCTTGCTTCTTTCTCCCTTTCTCAAAATATATTACTGTGTTCCCACTGACTGTTCATTCATTTAACAATGAAAGAAAAAAATAGAATCCAATTCCTGGAAGCTACTGTTACTTGGGATTTCTGTCGCACACAGCCAAAGTCTTCTTAAAATTATTCACAGAAGATGGAATTAAATATAGACAAGGCTCAGTCAATAAAAGGCGCAAAAATTTCATGAAGAACTTTGAGAAAGACACCCACATGTCCATAAGCAGAGCAGCTGAGTAGAAAGCAATAGATCCCCTGTGAATTTCCCTACAGCACACTGAACTTCAAGAGCTTTTCCACTGTATTTCATGGCCTATTGATCCTAAAACAGTGTTTTAAGAAACTATATAGAAAATATAGACATATTTTCTTCTTAGGAATTATGTTTGTGCATGTGTTAATGACCCAAATAGTATCTAACAGAACGGACTTCAAATCACATGTTGTACTACTACACAATATACTCTATAATCCTGTGTGTGCAGAAAATTCAATGATTGTGAAAAAATACAGCAGTTTAATATAAAAGTTCAACATTTAGTTCAAGGACCTAAGAATGTCAGATAGTAATAAAAATCAACCTACAATTAGATGAATGATGATTTATTTTGTATTACTTTGAATACCAAGATAATATTCTATTAATAAAAGCTTCCATGCAGAATAAAGTGAGAGCTATTGAGATACCATCAGACTTTTCTTCCACAGCACTATATAAAATGGGGCATTGGAGAAGTATTTTTAGAGTTTCAGGAGAAAAGTTTGTGACCCAAGATTTCTAACCTCAGCCAAATCAACATTCATTAGTGAGAGCAGAACAACCTTCTCAGACACAAAATGACTCAGGAAGTATGCTACCCACTTATCTGTCTTGAAAAGATTACTCAAGGAAGTGCTTCATTCAACCAAGAAATGAATCAAAACCAATAAATTAACTCAATTTGAGGGTATGTGTGGTTCAAAGGAAAAGGCAGTGAGTAATGAACTTAACACAGAGTTGGTGTCTGAGTAATTGTTATAAACATAGTTATGAAACTTGACAAACGTCAAAAACTAACTCATGGATGGAAAAGAACATATTGTTAAAAACAAATTAACAGCAATATCCAGTTTTATTTCAATAAAATAAGAATAGTAACAGGACTGAGGAAGAAAGAAGAAATGCCAGTATTTTAAATTTCTTATTCTGATATAGTAGAAGAATCATGTTTTATCAATAACGTTTATTGATTTATTTACCCATTTAGCAAATAGTTGTTCAGCATTTTCCTGTGCAAAGATCTGGTTCAAAGTTGGTGTGGCAGAGATTAACAAGCAGGACTGGCTCTCTATTCATACTGCATACAATTTAATTTACAAATTAGTTTGTTTTTAATGTGAAAAAGAAGAGGGTAAAGATAGTGTATGTAACTTAAAATCACTATAGCAAGTAAAGCGTTAAGAAAGTTTAAGCGATATTTCAAAAAATAGAAACAAAGATCAGATGGGAAACAAGAAAGCAATAAATGCAAAAGTCATGAAATGAAGTTCATGAGAAATTTCAGTCAACTTGTATAGATTTAACATTTGTTAAAAGAAAGTGATTTTTAGATTACATTAAACTATTTTTAGATGTAAACAGGAGACACTAATAAAATGTGATGACAATATTTTCAGCAAAATAGATGAATGGGCAAACTATGACAGGAAAATGTAGACAAAAAACAAAGGCAGTGAATAAATACAAGAAAAAGTAGAATTCTAGGCAAAATTATTAAATTTAAAAAAGAGAAACATTTTATATTGATAAGGGTTTAGTTCACAGTGAAGCAGTAATAAACTGTTAGGCATCAGATAACATTCGAAATATATGTAAAACACAAATAATTACACTTAAGCAAATTAAAATTATACCTATATATAATTAAAATGATTTGACATTGCTATTTCTTCATCAATGCTAGATGTAACAGACAAAAATTATATTTAAAACATCATATAAATTTAATGATTTAAAAAATGAGCTGATTAAGCAGCTACATACACACGTGATACACATATTAATGGAACATATATAAAAACCAATTCTACTGTAGTTAAAAAAATTCTAATTATATTCTAAAGTGTAGAACTTAGCCACATACTTTGATCATACCGAAATAAAACTAGAACTTAAAAAGAGAAGAATGACAGTTAAGACTCAAACTACTTAGAATGTTAACAAATAAATCTCCTAAGTAAATATTTGGCCAAATAAAAAAATCAAAGCTAAAGATTTAGAGAATTTAGAAAATAACAATAATGATAATTGTTAAGGAATATATGTAAAAATTTATGAAAGGTTCTGTAAACCTATACTCAATGGAAAATAATATTTTAATAATAATATTAATATAAATAAGCATTTGAGTCAAAGAGCTAGAAAAATAAAAATTTGATATATTGAAATGTAGTACATTTATAATCTTTAAAAATAATTATATCTTTTTAAATATTATGACTTTATCATTTGTATATCATCAGCCAAAGAACTGCCCATTTCAATAGTGGCTTTTATAACATTAAAGACAAAAATACGTGGTTCTTAGGTCAGTTTCAGGGAAATAGTTTTTCTTTTCCTCAAATTTGTTGGTTTATGATTTTTAAACTAAATTTGTCTTTAAATTGTATGTGCAATTTACAGCTTACTTTAGTTTGCACCCCATTATCCTCAGGTTAATCATCTATTTTGCACTGTGTTTAATTTTTAAACCAATCCCAAATGGACTTAGTGGCATGACAGTGCTCTGCTAGTAAATGTTTAACAGCCAGGACACTGTGTGTTGGGGGTGAGGAGGTGTGTGTGGTGGCTCAGGGGCACTGCAGATTTAAAGCATTTGCTACTTTCTGTGATGTAGAGTCTCACCACGTCCAATTTCATGCTACCACCTTGAGGATACTGAATGTAAAACTGGGAAAAGATGCACAGAATTAGCTCTTGCTATCTAGTGCAAACACACCAATGCACATATACTGAATGTATGAGTACCTAATGATGGGTGGATGGATAGATGGGTGGAGGGAGGCAGGGAGGGAGGGAGGCAGGTAGGGATGGAAGTAGGGAGGAGATAAAATTATTCCTTGAAAAGGATACCAAATTAGCCAATATATTCTGTTGATTAGTTTTTTTTAAACAAAAAAAATTTAAGCTTGGTCTTTCAATGCCATTTCTGAGCTAATATATTTTGTTGAAAATCTTTAAACGACTATGAGGGACCATTAAAATATCAGTATCAGGAATAAACAGAATAGGAATTCTGTTATAATCAGATACAGCTTTGAAATAGATTTGAAAGTTTCTCTTAAAAGTACTGGTCAGTACTCTGCTCCTTGGTTCAGCAACCACAATTCACTGCACTCCAACAGTTCTTAACTAACACTTGTGTACTTGTGTAACCTTAACTACTAGATAGTTATCGTTGATAAACTGCCCAAAGTTCTAAAACATTAAGTTCTATAATTGAAGGAACACTACAACTTTCAGCAACTCCCTTAAGTTAGACAAGGAAAGTAGTGATTCTACTCTTGATACAATTTTTTTAAGGACTAGCCTATGACAGCCCATTTATGCCTAGTGTTCCATTATTGGAACGCTAAGCAGGTGGGAGTTATTTATATCCTACTGCGCAAGGTCATAGCCAAGGTCTGATTGTAAAAATTCAAAAACTTGAAACCTCAGACATACATGGGTTAAATTCTTAGTTAAGTGGTGCATAATTTACATTTTGTCCCCACTATATCGACTAGAAATCTGAAGGCCTGAGAGAGCTCTTACCTAGTGAATGGCTGGGTTCCTTGACTCAGATGTATGAGATACTAAGCCCAGCACACAAACTTTATAAATGTTTTTGAACTGATCTTTTTGCTAATTAGTCTAGGTTCTAGATTCATTAAATTGAGTTTGTATATATACACACATATATATAAAAAATATATATATAAATCTTACCACAACTCAACCATTACAGGCCTCACTATTTCATTTGTCAAGTCCTAGTCCCAGTTTGAAATTTTAAAACAGTAAAATATAATGAAATTCACATACAACTAAAATCTTTAAGTTCAACACAGTAACAAAAGTGTTCTTTGACTATAATATTATTCTTGGTGAGAAGTACAACTAATCATTTGGTATAATTCCTATTGCTTGTAATTGCTCCTCTTAGATTTTTTTTCCTCCAGATTTCATCTTACCCCCTCAAGATGCTACCATCAAATGTGAAAAGAAGACAATTTGTGATCCAAAAAGCAAACCCCCAAAGCAGTAACATTACATCTTAAATCTTTCCAATTACACCTCCAGCTACTAAGCGGTTAATATTTTGCCTTCTCTACAGACCACTGTCAAATCTTCATGCAGATGACTTGGAGCAGTTGTGCTGGATTTGCAAAGTATATTTGCAAAGACATGGAGGAGACGATAAAAACAGTTGCTTTGTTATGAAAATATACACATACATATAGTATGATGGGTGCTGCAATAGACGTGGGAGTACACGTACCTCTTCGAGAGCCTGATTTCATTTCCTTTGGCTGTATACCCAGAAGTGAGATTGCTGGGCCATACTGTAGTTCTATTTTTAACTTTCTGAGGCACTCTCCTACTGTTTTCCACAACTGCTCCATCTTTTTACATCCGTACCATATGTGACCATATGGATGAACCTGGAGGACATTATGCTAAGCGAAATAAGCCAGTCACAGAATAACAAATGCTGCATTATTCCACTTATAGGAGGTATCTAAAATAGTCAAACTCATAGAAACAGAAAGTGAAATGGTGGTTGCCTGGGGCTGGGGGAAGGGGAAATAGGAAGTTGCTGTTCAATGGATATATAGTTTCAGTCATGCAAGATGAATAGGTTCTAGAGATCTGCTGTACAGCATTGTGTCCATACTTAATACTGTATTGTGCACTTAGAGTTTGTCAAGAGGCTAGATCTCATGCTAAGTGTTTACCACAATAAAAAATGTTTAATTAGAAAATGCTAAATAAAATACTAGCAAATTTTAAAAATAAAGAACCAGGATATTGTCTATTTAAAGAGTTTCCAACATTATAGAGTAAATAGATGATTATTTTAGAATCACTTTATGCATGTTCCACTTAAACATGCCAAAGGAACTTTCTGCTAATGAACATGTTAATAACTGGAATATCATGTTCAAATCTGCAAAGGAGGGATGCAACACCTATTTAAAGGAAAATTCTTACATATTTCTATGTAGGCATTGAAAATTTCTAAAAGAGCAGCTCTCAGAAATCACAAAATTTATAAAAGAATAAAGGAATAATTCAGTGATTTATGGAAGCCATGCTGCAAATAATTAAAGACAAAACCTAGGCATTACCATTCAGGACATAGGCATGGGCAAGGACTACATGTCTAAAACACCAAAAGCAATGGCAACAAAAGCCAAAACTGACAAATGGGATCTAATTAAACTAAAGAGTTTCTGCACAGCAAAAGAAACTACCATCAGAGTGAACAGGCAACCTACAAAATGGGAGAAAATTTTCGCAACCTAATCATCTGACAAAGGGCTAATATCCAGAATCTACAATGAACTCAAACAAATTTACAAGAAAAAAACAAACAACCCCATCAAAAAGTGGGCAAAGGATATGAACAGACACTTCTCAAAAGAAGACTTTTATGCAGCCAAAAGACACATGAAAAAATGCTCATCATCACTGGCCATCAGAGAAATGCAAATCAAAACCACAATGAGATACCATCTCACACCAGTTAGAATGGCAATCATTAAAAAGTCAGGAAACAACAGGTGCTGGAGAGGATGTGGAGAAATAGGAACACTTTTACACTGTTGGTGGGACTGTAAACTACTTCAACCATTGTGGAAGTCAGTGTGGCGATTCCTCAGGGATCTAGAACTAGAAATAACATTTGACCCAGCCATCCCATTACTGGGTATATACCCAAAGGACTATAAATCATGCTGCTATAAAGACACATGCACACGTATGTTTATTGTGGCACTATTCACAATAGCAAAGACTTGGAACCAACCCAAATGTCCAACAATGACAGACTGGATTAAGAAAATGTGGCACATATACACCATGGAATACTATGCATAAAAAATGATGAGTTCACGTCCTTTGTAGGGACGTGGATGAAACTGGAAATCATCATTCTCAGTAAACTGTCACAAGGACAAAAAACCAAACACCGCATGTTTTCACTCATAGATGGGAATTGAACAATGAGAACACATGGACACAGGAAGGGGAACATCACACTCTGGGGACTGTTGTGGGGTGGGGGGAGGGGGGAGGGATAGCATTAGGAGATATACCTAATGCTAAATGACGAGTTAATGAGTGCAGCACACCAGCATGGCACATGTATACATATGTAACTAACCTGCACATTGTGCACATGTACCCTAAAACTTAAAGTATAATTATAATTAAAAAAAAGAAATGGCATCAACATGAAGCTGCCCATTCCACTGAAGTTCTGAAATCTTTCATCATGTAAATAATTTCCATATTTCTCTTTTATAATAAACTAATGATAACTAATGACAAAAAAGAAAGATTTAAGTTGAAAATAGAAAAAAGTAGGACGTGTCTAAATATCAGTACAAGAATTAATAAAAAGTGGAGTTTTCTTGTCTCTTCTATCAACTTAATATCCCAAGCATCAACGTAGATTGATGACTCTCTCTAACATTAAAAAAAGAGGAAATAATAACATAATTAAAAAGAAAAACAGAAAAAAATAGTGAAATGCAATCACTTCCACCACTGTGACTTTGGTCCCGGTCTTCCTCATTTCCAGTCTCGATTATAGCAATAGCATCTTAACTGGTTTCTCTGCTTCCAAGCTTATACATTACCTTCTGTTCTGCACGTGGTAGTTAGAATAATCCCTAGACAACCAAAATCAGATGAAGTTATTCCTGTGGTTGAAACATCACATTCTGGATTAAATGCTTTCTGTAGTCTAAAATGTCCTAGGCATATAGGACATTTTATCTTTTAGACTTCATCTCCAACGACTTTCTCTTTTTCTTTTCACTTGCTCCCTTCTTCCCAATAAGAATGTAAACTACGTGCTAGGTGGGACTTTATGGGTTTGGTTCACTCTGATGCCCCCAGAACCTAGTACCTTTACTAAAGTAGGTCTTCACACATTTGCTGAGTGAATGAAGTAATAAAACCAAGTGATATGTTCACGCAACGGAAAACTATACAGCAGTTCACATCAATAAACTAAATAAATATTATCAGCCTGGAAAATATGTCAAACCACAATGCTGAGAAAAGTTGAAGAATATTATGTTGAAATTGAAGACATTTAAATCAAAGTGGCCTAGTTTGGAGAATCTGTATTACTTCCTCCACCAAAACATTCAAAGTTTACACACACACACACACACACACACCAATTATTTATAATTTTAAGATGAGAAAGCTGAGTCCCAGGAAGTGTGATCACTTGCCTTAAGTCACAGAGCCATGCGTGAGTAATGACATGGGGCAAGGACTGAAAATGACCAGTTTACTTGCCTCCTTCATTCTTCCAATGACCTTAATAGTGCTAAGAATTTTATGCCAAATAGCACTCAGATATGAGCTTCCTGAGAGCTCCTCAGTGAAAGCAGGACCACCACTATTCTCTCTTTTCTTCTTTCTCACCATTACCATAGGTGAAGTAAGTGTGAATATTACTCCAAAAATGTGAATGCAAAAAGCAAATCATTTCTTTCTTTTTCTTGTCTCTTACAGTGTACACCATGCCGCCTACATGGCGCAAAATTTACTCAGGACTTATCAATGCCCACCCTCCCCTCACACCACTGATCTGTGAGGGCTCAGAGATTGTATATAAAGAAAAATATTCATGCAGGCCCTTCAGTCATCCTTGGGTCACCCTGATCATTATGGAATGGCTTAATGTCCAGGTTTGCATCTTTCTTGCAGCCCCTAATTAAGGACCATGCTTGAGCAACATGCAAGCTCTGTGCTCTGGGGAGCCTTGAAATGCTTTAAATCCACCACATGGACAGTGATTCTTCTACCACTTTCCATGGGTTCCCACCACTCATAACATCCCCCAAATTTTGTGGGAGTTGTCTTGGGAATACCTTCTTACCTCACCTGGTGGTCTCGCCTGCCACGTATATCATGTTGTCAGTTGTCTTGGGCTAATGGAAAAAGAAGGTGGGCAGGGATGGGGAGGATCAGTGGGAAGATGAGTGGAAGGCAGATCCCGAGTGCAGTGGTGTATGAAGCCTACCCATAAATAAAAGCCAAGCTACAATTGTGATGTAAGCAAGGAAGGAGCAGTTCATGATGCCGTGAGGGACTTTGCAAGAATTTCTTGAGAAATTCCCAGTCAGCAGAGGCCTAAGGTATAAGTAAGGGTTAAGAAAGGGCAGCAGGATGAAGAGCATCCTGGGGGAAAAAAAAGCTGCTGCAATGAAACAAAGTGGGAGGGAACATGGTGCACGTGCCACACAGTAAGTGCTCGGTAAATGCGCGTTACTGTAATAATAACTTATTATTATCACTATTTAGGGTATATATCCAAATAAGATATTTTTCTCTGTTCAGAACAGAGATGTTTGGAAAATTAAGCATAAATACAATTGAAAACGTGAGAAACATCCAATACAGGAAGTAAAAAGAGAGACAATCAAAGCCATGGATGTGAGCCTGACGGGTTTCACCCAGCCCTAACTAAGAGAGGCAAAGGACAGCACTCATGAACAGCCAGATCAGAGGGGGGAAAAAAGACTTTTCCTGGGAAGGCTGGGTTTGTAAAGGAACATTAGGGAAAGAGAGAGAACAACATGATAAGCTGCATTCTCACACATTTAAGATACAATTCCTTTCCCCACCCCAACTCTCCAGGTTTCCTGAATTAATTGGAAGGAAACTGTTATATTTCCTTAATTCCTGAAGTGGGAGTTAAATCTAAATCTAACAAATGACATTTTCTTTTTCTTTTCTTTTCTTTCTTTTTTTTTTTTTTTTTGGGATGGAGTTCCACTCTTGTTGCCCAGGCTGGACAGGCTGGAATACAATGGCGTGATCTTGGCTCTCTGCAACCTCCGACTCCCAGGTTCAAGTGATTCTCCTGCCTCAGCCTCCCAACTAGCTGGAATTACAGGCACATGCCACCACACCCAGCTAATTTCTTTTATTTTTAGTAGAGACAGGGTTTCACTATGTTGGCCAGGCTGGTCTCAAACTCCTGACCTCGTGATCTGCCCACCTCAGCCTCCCAAAGTGTTGGGATTACAGGTGTGAGCCACCGCACCCAGCCAATGTTTCCTTATTTCTATTTTTATACTAGTAGAAGTTTCAACTGACCAGTCTCCACTGAATGATACACTAAGCCAAGATATTTTAATTTTCTCTAATAAATGTTTTCACTTCTTTTCTTTTCTCTTTTCTCTTATCTCCCAAGCACAGCCATCCCACCATAGGAAAATAGAAAGAAAACTTAAAATTTACCAATGGATAGGGCATCAGTCCACTCAAACAGAAAACAGTAAGTGCTGCAATGTGTAGCAAGATCTGCTTATTATATCTTTAGTTTCCTTCAAGAAGACATATGGTTGAATTCGGGAACCCATTTCTTCTTCCCCCTGAAACTTACAAAAGAGTGGTACACAACTTCCTCTTTCCTTCTCTCTTCTCCCCCCATT
Source organism: Homo sapiens (assembly GCF_000001405.40). Lineage (NCBI taxonomy): Eukaryota > Metazoa > Chordata > Mammalia > Primates > Hominidae > Homo > Homo sapiens. The sequence continues at coordinate 7,721,656 of NC_000020.11, forward strand.
CCCTATCCACACAAGCTCCTACCCATCCCCATAGCCTCAGGCTCCTGAAGTGATGAGATCACAGGCTTGGGCCACCATGCTGGCTGAAGATACTCTTTTAGGGGTAGATGGAGACCCTGTCACTGACGATTTGACTCCTGTTTTCTGGCCAGTTCTTCTGAAGCCTGTGCTTAATATAACCACAGAATGTACCTTTTGAAACTTCTCCAGCAACTGAAGTAGGTGACAATCTAAACATAAAAGTACTTAGAAATTCCAGTTATCATTTTGAAACAGTGTTCCTTTTGTTTCAAGATTCACATTGGATTAGATTAGTTTGGCCCTGAGAATACATATTGCTTGCCAGTGATCTCCAGACATCCTTAACACTGCCCCAAAATAAAACTAGACCCCCAGCCCCAGGAAAAGATCAACATTGATAAAGGACACAGCATGGTGTGTGTTTGCTCAGGATTTGTGTCTTCTTAATTAAATATTTTTCAGCCCCTGTCTCAGAAAATGGAAAGCACAATTGAAGTAACACAAGGCACATAGTGTTTTAAGATTGTCTATGAAATGGAAACTAAAGGCCACAATATTATACTGTAGCTATTACTAAGTAACTTTCAAGGCTATTCTTTGAGAACACAAACAATAGACCAAAAAGTCATAAAATGTGTTAATTTTATTAAACAAAAAATGATTGTGTAACATTTCCTAAAAGTGATATTATCATTATATAACCCTCACTGATAATAATAGATGGGTGGATCTTTTTTTTTTACTTATTTTATTTTATTATTATTATACTTTAAGTTTTAGGGTACATGTGCACAACGTGCAGGTTTGTTACATATGTATACATGTGCCATGTTGGTGTGCTGCACCCATTAACTTGTCATTTAGCATTAGGTATATCTCCTAATGCTATCCCTCCCCACTCCCCCACCCCACAACAGTCCCCGGTGTGTGATGTTCCCCTTCCTGTGTGCATGTGTTCTCATTGTTCAATTCCCATCATTTTAATATGCTTTAAATAAAAGGGTGGTCAGCCCTGATTTCACATGGGATGTATTCACTATGAGGCTGAATCACTCCTGTCCTTTATCATGCCGCCTATGTCTGTCCCAAGAATGTTGCCAAAGAAAGTAATACTGGTGACTCCCAGTGTCCTGGAATTTCTCAAAAGTTTTTCACAGAACCATACTTCCGACAGCTGAATTGTTTGGAAAATAATTGGCATGCTACTTACTGAATTACAGGAGAGTCTATCTGAAATTAAACTTGAAATCAAAACGAAAGCCTTTACGGGATTCCAGCAAAATCTGAAAGTGAGATCAAAGGCAGTGAAATGTGTAATTACATCACCCAAAAGCTTATTTTCAATAAATAATTTGGACATGTGAACCTACTAAGTGATAAATGCTAATCACACATTCACTCATTTAAGTTCTAAATTCAATCTGAAACAAGCGAGATTACATTTTTAAACATTAAAAATTTATTTATAGACTTAAAGTTTATAACTTATTTACTTTCTAAATTATATTGAGATTATTTGCAATAATTTTAAAAATAAGATTTTTCTTCCTAAAATGCCAATAGAATCCCTTGGAGAAATACGGTAGGTACTACCTGAGAAAATTCAGGGTTACATTATTAATGGCAAAGTGGTAGGGAAGTATAATTTGGGGAGAAGAGTGGGAGAGGGAAAAAAGTTTATGGATAGATTATCAGCAGTGACTGCCATGGGAGGGTTATGGAGCTATTCCAGAACAGTCTTGGCCCAGCTGAAGCCCCATATCCTGTTGATTTCTGATTAGGACATACTCCATGTTTGCTCACCCATCGTGAGTCAGAATCAAGTTTTGTCATGTGGTGGATGGGATCCATCTTTACAACTTGAATGCCACATATTGCACCAACTACCCTTTTTATACATGGGATTTAATGTGTAACTTTTGGATCAACCTAATGATTATACAACTTTGTTTACTTTGTATTACATGATTAATTATGACATAACAGAAGTGGGTTGAAATTCTCCCACTACTAGAGTGCCATATAATGTAACAATTTAAAACATAGTCCCTGGAACACAACTGCCTGAGTTCAAACCCTCACCTGTGTTGCTCTGAAAAAATTCCGTAACACCAGAAACTCAATATTTTCATCAATAAAATTGGAAGTAATAAGCAGTGATTAAATGTATGAACTCTAAAACAAAATGCCTGATTTTAATGTTGGCATTTTCTACTTATATTCTGTGTGATCTAAAACAAATTACTTAATTTGTTGCCTATGCCTGAATTTTCTGATCTATAAAATGACAATAATAATAGCAATATAGCCCAATCAGTTCTTAAGTAAAGACTAAATTATATACTATTATATACCTAATTGCTTTTCCAAAAGATTGTTAAAAATTGCCCCTATTCTTGGGTACTATCAGTTTTATTTTTAACAGTCTGATAGAAAAATCAACTGAATTTTAAAAATAACCCTGACTGGATGAACTTTTTCTCATAGATATAATGCCCATTTTTAACATTTATTCAAAATCTTTGCAATTCTGTTTGTTATTAACGTTTCCTTGTAATTTTGTGGAAACTTGCTATATGTGAAGAGTATTTCATCTTTGTCTAATTTTCATTCATTTATTAATTCTACAGATATTTACTGAGTGCCTACTATATGCTAGAAACTATTGCAGGTGCTGGGGACACAGCTATGAACAAATTAGATCAAAATCCCTGCCTTTATGAAGCTGATGTTCTGTCATTGAGACCAAAAATAAATTAATCAATAATTGTATGCTCTAGGAAAAAAAACAGTAAAGGGATATAGAGTGCTTAGATTGGGGAAGGATTAGTTGTTTTAACTAGAGTGGTCAGGGTGGGCATCATGAAGAAGATGACACCTGAGCAAACATCTTAAGGAAGTAAGGAGAAGAGACACTGAGATCACCGGGGAGGTAACATCCAAGGCACACCAACGAGCAAATAGAAATTAGACACGAATTTGGCTGAGATGTTTAGGAACAATTAGCCAGCGGTGCAAACAAGAAAAGGTGGGGCAAGAAGAAATAAAGGAGTGCAGATGTATGATGTATATATGATATTATAAGGTTTTTAACTTTAATTTTGAGTAAGATAGAAGCAATTGGAAAATTTGTGGCAGATTTTCATGATCTGACTTATTTTTTAACAGGTTCACTCTGTCTATGATCTTTACCATAGACTATGGGGCAAGGACAGAAGCAAGAAGACCAAGTAGAAGTTTATTATAGTCCGGGCGCGATGGCTGACGCCTGTAATCCCAGCACTTTGGGAGGCAGAGGCGGGCGGATCACGAGGTCAGGAGATCAAGACCATCCTGGCTAACACTGTGAAACCCCGTCTCTACTAAAAATACAAAAAAATTAGGCAGGCGTGGTAGCGGGCGCCTGTAGTCCCAGCTACTCGGGAGGCTGAGGCACGAGAATGGCGTGAACCCGGGAGGCGGAGCTTGCAGTGAGCCGAGATCGTGCCACTGCACTCCAGCCTGGGCGACAGAGTAAGACTCCATCTCAAAAAAAAAAAAAAAAAAAAAAAAAAAGTTTATTATAATAATTCAGGAAAGAAATTATGGTGTCTTGGGTTATGACAGTAGCAGTGAAATGTAAAATGTAGTAAATTATGGACAGGTAGAGCCAACAGAATTCACTAACATATTGGATAGAGGGTATTCAACAGAGTGAAATCAAGAATGACTCCAAGGATTTTGGCCTGAGCATTTGGAAAGATAGAGTTTACATTTACTCTAATGGCAAACACTGTGAGAAGCCTGAGTTTTAGAGAGAATATGAGGAGTTCAGTTCTGGGCATGTTAAGTTTAAGATGCTTATTAGATATCCAAACAGAAATGCTGTGTGAGAAGCTGGATGTAAGAGGCTAGAGTTCACGGGAGAGGTCCAGGCTGGAAATGTACATGTGGAAGTCAACCAATGGAGGGTGCTTAGGCCATAAGACTGGGTGAGATCTAGAATGGAGTGGAGGTTGGTAAAGAAGAGATCTTGGGGACCGAGCTGTGGAGCAATCCAGTGTTACAAGGTCAAGAAAATAAGTCAGAACAAGCCAAGGCAGTGGAGAAAGAAAAGCCAGAAACCGAGGAGAAAACCCAGGAGAGAGCAGTGACTTGGGAATCAAGTTAAGTATTTCATGAAGAGAATGCCAATGGTGCTTATAGGTCAAGTCAGTTGAAGACTGAGTATCACCAGTTGAATTTTGTAAGATTAGAAGTCATATTGACCTAGGTAAGAGCAATTTCAGTGGAGTGGTGGAAGCAAAGTCTTCATTAGAAGGAATCTGAGGTCGAAAGGGAGAAGAAGAATTGAAACAGTAGACAATCATTTCTACAGATTTTGCCTTAATGAGGAACAGAGTTATGTTACAGTAGGTGGAGGGTGTGTGACATCAGTAAAGGATTTTTTTTTAATGGGAGAAATTAAAGCATATGCTTTCTATGGAAAGGATTTAGTTGAGAAGGAAAAACTGCTGGTGAAGAAAAGAGATGGAAGGAAAGCTGAGCTTTTCCCTGAGGGGTTGAAAGAGAATATCATCTACTAAAAAAGTAGAAATATTTGCTTTGGATATACAGACAGAAAATTATTAGAAATAGGAGAGTAAACAGGTACTGATATTGATAAGTAGGTATTTGTGGAGGTGGGAAATTCTGCAATTTTCGCTCTGAGTTTTTCTCTTTTCTCAAGAAAATAGGAAGCAAAGATTGTCAACTGAATGTGAGTTTAGGGCTTGAGAATAAAGGAAAAGTTGTAAACAGAGACCTGGATTAAGTAGGAGAGTGAAAATCTAGGAAAATACAAAATGACTGATGAGCAAAATAAAGACCCATTTGAAGTTAGTGGCAATAAATTTGAAGCAAAACCCATCAATATAGCTTTTTTCTTTCCAGTATTCATCTGCCTAGTGCAGGTGTATAGTATAAGGAGTGATGGATTTAATGGAAATTGGGGTTTTGAATAAAAAGGAAAGAGATGTCAAGGAAGTTATGATTGGCTTTGGAGTTTATCTGGTAAAAGAAGGAAGCGAGTGAGATTTTGTAACGGTAAGATTGATGATAGATAGATAGATCCTAGTAGTGGTCAAGGGATGTTTAGGGTTTGGGCATTTTGCAGCTGTAAGATGGAAATAAATGTAGAGATTAAAGAGTAATACATATTAATAGTTCATGAATGTGTAACAACCTATCCTAAAATTTAGTTGTTTAAAAAAAGCAACCATTTTAGTATTATATCTCATGATTTGCAGGTCAGAGATTTGGGCAAGACTTAGCTAAATGATTCTTCCACTCCGTGTTGTGTTGACTGTGTTCATCTGATGGCTGTCCTCATCTCAGCCAACTCCAAGACAGCTCAGCTTACATTTCTGGTGCCTTAATGGACTTGGCTGGAAGGCTAACCTCAGCAGGACACTCTTCCATGTGGCCTGAGGTCCTCTACAGGTGGATTCTGCAGAATGGCTCTTAGCCTTCTTAGATGGTAGCTCAGTGCTCCAAAGTGAGTGTTTCAAGAAACATAAAGTGGAAGCTGCCAGTCTCTTAAGGTCAGGTCCTGGAAAGTGATACAACTTTACTTCTGTTGTATATTAGTGGTCAAAGCAACCAAAGGACCTGCTGAGATTCAAGGGAAAGGGAAGTGTACCTCACTTCTGATAAACAGAGTACTAACTGTATCAAAAAATCTATGTCCATATTTAATCTGCTATCGCAGTGATCTGGACTTCTTGTGGTAGGTGACAGAAATAGAGTAAAAAATTTCAGTGCAATTAATGTTGATAGCCTCAACATAGAAAATGGAGGCAATGCTATGAGTGTTCAGGGATTGAAAAGATGAGGGTCTTTCCAATGGCAGATAGAGTTCTTGGGCTTCTTCTTGACCTTTCCTGAGGAAAGCAGGGGACCTGGGAGAGGTGTAGTATTACACTAAAAAAGCTGTACTGCCTCTTAAAAATCTGCCATCAGAGGATTTGGATGATACTTTATATGTTGAAACTATTTGTGTCTCTATATCTATCAATTAACTGTGCTTACCTTCTACCTATATTTTGTTGTCATATCTTATTGTATTTTATTTGGCTTCATTTGTTCTTAAATATAGTTCAATTAATTCCTTCTTTCACTTATGGACTGTATTTATTATTATTTATATTTATATTTTCCCCACTCTACGATTATAAAAATTACTAAACTGTATTTTCTTCTGGTACTTGATAGTTGCTTTAAAAATGTTAAGTATAACAAAAATTAAGATATACAACACAAGTTATCATATAATTTTGGAGTAATAAGTATGGCCAGTTCCCCAAATGAGCATTTCATTCTCTGTCCTAATCATCCCTCTTCAGCTATCCACTATCCTGCTGCTGACGGCAATCTCTGCCTTGGTTTTGTCTATAATTTTGGCACCTAAGCATGCATCTCTAAACTTTATGGTTTTCATATCCCCGTGTCTGTGTGCGCATATGCATGCATGTGATATGTGTAACTTTAATGTAATAATTTGTTTTGTGCTCTTTTGTGACCTGTTAATTTCACACAAAATTGTGAAAGTCTTTTCAACTTTGCAGCCTGGGTTCATACATTCTCACTGCAGTGTGTATTATTTTGAATGAATATATTACAATTAACTTATGCAATTGTTGACATGCATTTGGTTTGCTTTCAGTTCAGAATTATGAATAATAATATGAATTTTCTTGGTGCTCATGTGCATGCATTTCTGGAGTGGTATTGAAATGGGTCTAAGTTAAACATATCTTCCATTTGGTATCTGAACATCAAATGCTGTCCCATTGTAGGTGTACTGATTCACACTCTCACTGCCATGGGGTAGAAGTGCCTTTCCACCATATGCTCCAACCAAAATGACCATGAGTCATTTTCATTTTAGCCCTTCTGTGTGTCACAATGTCTCACTGTGGTTTTACTTTGCACTTCTCTGATTACTAATGATGTTAAGGCACACTTTCATACATTCATAGACCATTAGGATATTTTGTTTTGTGAGGTTTATTGTCAATTTTCTGCTAGGTTGTGGCTCTTTTTCCTGTGGATTTATATGACTTTTTCATATATTCAGGAAACATTCCCTTTGTTGAATATGTATTCTTTTTACATAGTCAATTACATTTATCTTTCCCTTTATTTTTAAAGAAAACATCCTTTTACCAAAGCCATGAATATACTCTCCTGTATTTCCATCTAAGAAGATTTATTGTTTGGCCTTTTACATGTACAACCCACATAGAATTAATTTTGTGTGTGATGCTGATGTCGATTAAACTTCATTTTTTCTGTATTGATATGGACTTTCCCAATTCAACTCATTTTCCCAATTCAACTAAATGAATTTCAGTTCAATTCCCCTTCTCCATTGCTCTAGAGTGCCAACATTTTTATAAATCAAGGGTCCGTATCTGTGAGTTTGTTTCGGGGTCTGTGGTACTGGTCTATCATTTTAGTTAGGTGTAATTAGTAAAGCTTTTAAAACAAGTATTTATATGTGGTAAATCAAGTCTCCCCACTTCTTTTTTTATAATAGTGTCTTAACTAATCTTAGCCCTTTGCATTTCAAAATAAATGTTATAATCAACTTGTTAACATATAGCACATTTTTAAAATAATAACTATTATGATTTTGCCTGAGAGTGCCTTGAATCTCTAAATCAATTACTATGAGAATAATTGACATATTTATATGCTGAATTTTCTAAGCACGATCTTTTTCTCACATTTATTAACTATTCTTTGACTTATCTCAGCAATGATTTATAATTTTCTATGTAGAAGTCTTGCACATCTTTCTCAATTGTAGTCTAAGGTATTTGATATTTTCACTTCATGTAAATGGCATCTTTTTCATTTTATTTTTCTGTTTGTGGCTTATATACAAATTGCAATCATCTTATATCCAGAAACCTAGTTAAATTTGCTTATCAATTTAATTAATTAATCTTTGGATTCTATTGGTTTTCTACATTCAAAATTATATTACTCAAATAAAGACAATTTTATGTCTTTCTTTCCAATGCTTTGACCTATTTTTAGCCATCCTCTTGTGTGGACCCTCCATGTATCATGTTCAGGAAAACTTTTGCAAGCAGACTGGTCATCTTGCTTCAGGGTCCATCCCAATTATACAGCTTCCAACATTTACTATTAACAGTGTTTGCTGTTCATACACATATATATAAAGTTCCTTTCTCTTTCTAATTTTCTAAGGGCTTCCATCATTAATATATACATTAAAATTTATTCAACCCCTTTTATTAAATAGTAAAATTAACATTTTTTTCCTTTATTGTTACTATTGATATTTACATTTATGGAGTTCAAATGTTAAGCCAAACTTGATTTTCCAGAATAAAACACAATTATTGTGATGTGATACATTACCCTTTAATTTTGTTTTTTCACTGAGCTTTTAATTACGACTTTTGCTTCTGTGTTCATGCCTGGGATCCAACCTCTAATTTTCTTTTCTTGTTATGTCCTTGTCCACTTTTGATATTAAAGTTATGCTGATTGCATAAACTGAGTCACTAAGTTGGGAAACATCCTTTTTCTTTCTTTGAAAGAGTGTAAATGTTTTATTATTTATGTTTTTAGTTGTTTGTTTCTAATGAATGATAAAATTCTCTGGGGAAACCATTGGCCTGGAGTTTTCTTATGGAAATATTTTAGTCATATTTGCAATGTCTTTAGTAGTTATAGGACAGTGGGGTTTTTTTTCTGTTCATTTTTCTACAAACTTATAATGTGTCATTTCCCAGGAATTTGTTATTTCATATGATATTTAAATGTATATAGTATCCATGTCTTATTTTATTATCCACAGAATATATTGATTTATTCTATTTAGTTGACATTTGTTATTTGTGCCTTTTCACTTTTGTTTTAATTAGTCTTGTAACTGGTTTATCAACTGCATTAAATCTTTTTAAAATATCATTTTAGATTAGCTTACTTTCTCTATTTTGTATCTGTTTTCTAGTTTGTTGAATTCTGCTCTTACTTCTATTATTCCCTTTCTTGTACTTTATTTCTGATATATTTTGCTAATTTCTAAGATGGATACTAAATTTATTGATTTACTTTCTTTTTTCCAAAATATTCATTTAAAGCTATATATGAACTTTTAATTATTACTTCAGAAATATCCTATATACTTAACCTTGTATTAGATCAACTTTGCTCATCATATTTTTCAAATTTTCTTCATGCTTGTTGATTTTTTATATGATTACCTTATCAAATGCTTCTAGGAAGGTACTGAAATATCCATTATAATTGTGAGTATGCTTACTTTTTCTTGTAGTTCTAAGGCCATGTTTCAGGTGAATACAGTTAAAATTTTTCACAATTTCTCATGCTAGAAAGTTTATCAATGGAAATTATCTCTCCTTATTTTAGGTAAAGTTTTTGTCTCAAAAAGTACTTTGTATACGTTTTTTCTGATTTTAATATAACAAACCCTGATTTATGATCTATTCTTTTCCATTATCTTAGTTTCAAACCTTCTGTATTTCTATTGATTTTCTCCTTAAGTGGCATTTAGTTGGTTTTGCTTTTTTATTTTAATCTAGTTTCAATATAGATATCTTTTAATTAGAGCAAGTTGTCTTGAATTCTACTTTTTCGATTAGTGTTATTATAATTTTTCCTATAATTTTCTTGCATTGTTGTATTAGTCTGTTCTCACACTGTTAATAAAAACATACCTGAGACTGGGTAATTTATAAAAAAGAAAAAAGAGGTCTAGGACTCACAGTTCCACATGGCTGGGGAGGCCTCACAATCAAGGTGGAAGACAAAGGAGAAGCAAAGTCATGTCTTACATGGTGGCTGGCAAGAGAGCTTGTGCAGGGGATCTCCCCTTATTAAGCCATCAGATCTCATGAGATTTATTTACTATCACAAAAGCAGCACAGGAAAGACCCACCCCCATTATTAAATTACCTCCCACTTGGTCCCTCTCATGACAAGTGGGAATTTTGGGAACTACAATTCAAGATGAGATTTGGGTGAGGACTTAGCCAAAATGTATCGATTGTCAATTCCTTCTCTTAATTTTTATTCTTTTTTCTTTGTTGTTTTAACTTAGATGAGATGCTCAAAAATCAGCATATGAGAGTCTCAGATATTTTTGGTCAGGTAACAGAGAAATTTAATATAGTTCCATGTATTCTCATTAATGTTCTTTTCTTCTTCCATCACATTATAAACTCAGAAAATGTTTTGATTGATTTTTAAAAACTGCTACAAGTACTAAGATCAGGACATAATTTTCTCGCACTCACATTGACTTTGAAGCATGATAACCTAGTGATTTTGAACCAATTAGACATAGCATAGGGCTCAGCAAAGAAATTATGTAATCATATGGTTTGTTATTGATGACATGGAGGACCAATGTGAGCATGTGACAGGTGTGCAGCTGCCCACCATCATACAAACAACCTTCCCAACTGGGAGTCAAGAATGTGCTTTTTCAGCTGCCCCTGAAGATAAGACACAGAGGGAGCGAGGTTTCACAGAGCAGATGCACCAAGGAGATGACTTCCATTCACAAGAACGCAAAGTTAGGAAGGAAGCACCAGAAATAATACATTATTTATAGAAGACATGAAGGATGGCAAAGTCAGTTCCCTTGGGGAAATGTCTAGCATCATCTCTTAGCATCCTGGATGTGAGTTGCTGGTTTCTGGGTTTCAGCAGTGGGTTATTTGTTGTAGCAACTCTTATGTTTTTTGTAAGTTTTTCCTGGATATGTAGCTCCTATCTCTGATCATCTAGCCCTCTTGGAAATTCTCTGAGCTATCAAATATCCTAAATACCCTTTCTGTGGAAGCCACTCAAAATGGGTTGTCTTGTTTGTCACTAGAAACTTCAGCTGATATAAGTGAACGGAAGCAAATAGGCAGCAAGATCTGCATTTCAGACCATAAGCAAAGGATAACAGAAATCCATCACATCAATTCCAATGCTACCCACTTTGAGTTCAGCTAAGAATTCAGATCAACTTTACTTGCATTATCTTTTTTTTTTTTTTTTTGGCAGAGTCTCACTCTGTCACCCAGCCTGGAGTGCAATGGCACAATCTCAGCTCACTGCAACCTCTGCCTCCCAGGTTCAAGTGATTCTCTTGCCTCAGCCTCCTGAGTAGCTGGGACTACAGGCGCGTGCCACCACACCCAGCTAATTTTTTGTATTTTTAGTAGAGACAGGGTTTCTCCGTGTTAGCCAGGATGGCCTCGATCCCCTGACCTCGTGATCCGCCTGCCTTGTCCTCCCAAAGTGCTGGGATTACAGGCGTGAGCCACCGTGCCTAGCTACTTGCATTATCTTAATGAAAAATAATTGTTTCTTCTAAAACTGTTACTTCTGGTTTTGCTGAGAATGCTAATCACTTAAAAATGTAGATGAAAGAAAAAAATAAGTTAGTGAAGTTGTGTGTGGCAGTAGATATGTTGAATTTAACAAAATATGTTTAAAAATTATGCAGGAAAAGATTTCTCAGCCTTATCACTATTGATATTTTGTACAAGCTAACCTTTATTGTGGGCAGCTGTCCTGTGTGTGTGGTGTTGAGCAGCATCCCTGGACTCTGTCCATTCAATGACAGCAGAGCTCTTACCAACCAAACACATCTCCACACATTACCAAACCTCACTTGGAGGTCAGAAAGGCAAAATTGCCCCCCTGCTAATAACCACTGATATCGAATGGTAAATATATGACAAGAATGCTGTCTGCTGCCCTTCCCATGCATATCAGAATTATTGATAGTGCTTCCCAGCACTATTTTCTCTTGAATCTGATTTGACTCAGAACCCTTCTCCACACAGCACTGTATGCAGTTACCATTAATTAGGAGGAGCTGGAGTGTAAAACAAAACCCTATGGATATCCCTATTGTTGTTTACTCCTTGGTGAATGTCCGACTTTCCCAACTCCCAGTTCTGTGCTGTATACTCCTGCTAAATCAAAATTTGTCTGGGATCCAAATTTCTAACTCAAGTTGGAAAAGGAGTATTTAGGATTAATTGAAGGTGCAGTGGTTTGCCCATTACTCATTCTGCTTCTCCTACATATTCAGGTAATGAATGGGTCCTGCAGAGAAAAGTTTCAAGATAGTGGCAATGTAAAGACAAATTAATTTAAGCTATGTAGCAGTGGACTCAATATAACTGAGGACTGTTTCCTTGGGAGTGTTTGAAGAGTCTGGCAGAAGGAAATAATATAAAATCCTGCAAGAAAGTCTTGCAGGATTAATGATGGTAATTATTAATGTTAGCAGAGTGCCACCTCTTATAAAAACCTTATTACTTTTAATGTTTAATCCATTATTTAATTGTATAATAGACACCAGTTAAAATACATTTTAGTATGCTATATATATATGGACATCTTGCAGGTTTGTGAAACAAAGGTCTTTTTAAAGTACATCATCTTTAAATATTACCTTTAGTATCCCTTTAGAACATCCAAAGAGGTATTTTTGAAAGTTGGGAAAATAGATTTCTGCAAGTTGATCTCTTTAACCCTTTGAATATTTTATGGCATATTTGCCATTGGTGTGAAGTATGAAAAAAGAGGTATTTGGGGCAGACCTGCATTCTATATTAGACTCAGACTCAAATATAGTTGTCAAATAAAACATCATATACACTACTTCTGTGGTTTGCGTAACAGAAATCATCATACCCATTGCTACACTATTTACAGGAATATTAACCTCTTGACTTAGTATGACAATTACATCATATTTCCTGAACAAATATTTATAAAAGTTGAAGTTTCTTCACTTCTTTTTACTTACCACTTGTTTTACAAGGGACATTTCACATCTCTGTGCACATAATTCTTTGCTTTATTTTCACTATGATCAATGCTCAATATATACTTCTATTTTTAATATCAAATCAATCAATCATTTGCACAAATCATCTGATAACTGACAAACTGCAGGTTTTCCAAGAGAAAGATGGCAGAAACCCGATCATAACAATCGTCACAAAGCAATTATCATCTGCCACTGCTGCTAACCTGGGCCAGTCATCCCTCTGTATTGAACAATAACCAGAAGGACCAAGAGTTGACCTAGAACCAGTAGGAGGAGGTGGAAGGTCAATGGGTGATTGGGGAGCCAGCCTCATGCATTGCCTCCTGGCTTTTAGTCAAGGTGGCCTACTGAGCCTTAAGAGAGGATGAAAAAGAAGAGAAAAAATGACAGAAGATGGACTTCTTTGACTTGTCACCGGCCCTGGTATATCCATAACTGATGAGAAGCACCTTTGGGTGTTAACACGAATATATTCTACATAAGACCCTCACTAACTAATTCCATGCAAATCAATTGAGTTATCACTATATGTATTATATGTATATATTATATATATATTTTATATATATTATATATATATTATACACACACACACACACACACACACACACACACACACAGAGGTATATTATATTTGCTGAAAGAGATAGACAATCGTCCCTGACTTCTCAAAGGTGAAATTCTTGTGAATGATGTTTGATTGTAATGATATGTTTTGCATAAAGCCATGAGGGGAAAGGTAATTTCTCATATCATTGTATGTATAAAAAATTTCAAGAGAGAATTACAAAGGTATAAGGTTGTCAAATCCCAGAAAAGAACTTCAAAAGATCCTTGTGGACAGTGTTCTCCAGTGTATATAGCATGTGTCTTACTGCCTGAGAGGGTCTTCAATTATGGGAAATAGTACTAAGGCTATTGGCTTAATAGAAAAGATAAAGATTGCTAGAATAAAATAAGTAAACCAGAAATCAAAATAAAGCATGTAAAACCAAAATGGAGTGCTGAAGATGGCAAGCAGAACAATGTGACAATGTGAGAAAAAAGGAAAGTATGAATGAATAATCAATACATTATACATGGGACACCACTTATGAAGAATACCTGAATCTTTCAACGAATAAAAGGAAGAGGCTGGGCGTGGTAGCTCACGCCTGTAATCCTCACAGTTTGGGAGGCCAAGGCAGGAAGATCACAAGTCAGGTGTTCAAGACCAGCCTGGCCAACATGGTGAAATCCTGTCTCTACTAAAAATAGAAGAAAAAATTAGCCGGGCATGGTGGCACACCTGTAATATCAGGTGCTTGGGAGGCTGAGACAGGAGAATCACTTGAACCCAGGAGGCAGACATTGCAGTGAGCAGAGATCATGCCACTTCACTCCAGCCTTGGTGACAGAGCAAGACTCTGCCAAAAAAAAAGAAAAAAGAAAAAAGGAAGAATTTTCCAAAAGTTAGCTATTCAGCAGTGGAACAGTTGGTCGGCTATAACAGTGTGCCACATTCAAGCAGAATCTAACTACAAAGTATTGTGGGAAGAGTTAATTATTTATACATTCTAAAATCCCTAACTTTAAAATTATATTATTACAACAAAATTCAATACACAGACAAGGGAGAACTAGTGTAGTCATATAAAATGTGGGAAAATGCACTATTGCCCTTGTACAGGCAAAACATTTTCTACATTTTACCTTAATGTAAAATAGAAAATTAGGCTTTTTAATCATTTTTCTCAATGAGGTCAACCTACAAAGATGGATGACCCTGAAGTCAATTTTCTTAACAGCTAATCTAAGTTAAGCTCATTCCCTTGTATAGAAAATGGCAGTCTACTGAAAAATTCACAAATGCATGTTGTAATTAATGTATGAAAAAAGAGATGGACAATGATTAAGGCAATCAATGTGACTAGAATATGAGGCATCTCATTAATCATAGCCCAGACAGATTTCAACATTAACAAAATGCATCATCTTTAATTTCATAGTTACCTTCCAATCCAAATAGAACAAAACATACAATTAAGTCATTTAAAATAGTTGGATTAGGTCATTGCGTTTTCTGGTCAAACCCTTTCCTTTAAAAGACAATGGATTTCTTCACAGGAAACTCCAGTTGGCAGGCCTGCTTTTGAATACTGCCCACTGGTTTTTGGATCTTTCCTAAATATTAGAAAAATGCCCAACTCTCCTAAAATAGTCATTTATTTTTGAGGTAGTACTCTTAGAAAATAACATATAAGATTTTCCACTATTTCTAATCTTAAGCTTTCAACATTTTATCATGGCATACTTGCTACTGGTTTTTTTTTAAGCTACACCTAATTGGATTAAGGAAGTTCCCTTTTATTTCTGGTTTTTTAACAGTTTCTTTTACATATAGTTTGAATCTAATCATTCATGTTTTCTCATATCATCATATGATTTTCTCTTTTTGTTACTGTGGTGAATTGCACCTATTGATTTTTAAAATCTTTAACCGTTTATATATTATTAGAATGAAACCAATTTGATGATGATATGATTTTATTTCTGTAAATCACTGATTTTTAAAGATATTTTGTTTAAGATTTTCAAATCAGAGAGATTGGCCTGTAGTATTCCTTACATATATTGTCCTTGTCAGATATTGGATCAAGATGACGCTGGCCTCATGAAGAAAGCTGGGAAGTTGATGACTCTTTTCTATTCTCTGAAAGTTTATATATATGTATCTTTTTCTGTTATTTTTTTCCTTAACTATTTCATAAAAATTCACCAATAGTGAGATGTTACTATTTGAGAAAGCTGGATAAATTGCACATAGAATTCTGTAATTTTTTTTTACAATTTCATATATGTCTGGAATTAATTCAAAGTAAGATTTTATTTTGAATTCACTAGGGGAGCATCCGAGTCTGGAGTTGTCTCCTCACCTCCCCAGTAGGTGAAATGTAGATTCTATTTCTTTAATATGTGTGGGGGTATTTAAATTTTCTCTCTTTTCTCTGTCAATTTTAGAAAGTTTTGTTTTCCTATAAATATTTTTTCTTCTATATTTTTATATTTATTAGGATAAAGTTGTTCATAATCCTATTTTGTTGTCTTGTCAATGTCTGCAGGATCCATAATGATGCCCCTCTTCATCCCTGATTTTATTAGTTTTTTAAATGTCCTTTCTCTTTACCAGTCTTTCCAGTTAGGCATCATTTTATTTTTCCTCCCTGAAAACCATTTTTTGGCTTTGTTGATACTTTCTATTATATTTTTAAATTTCATCTATTTCAGTTTCTTCCCCCCATTTCCTTGATTAAATTTAGTTGTTGCTCTTTTTCTATATTGGCTTTAATTACTCTTTTTTTTCTCTAACATCTTGTAATGGGTTCTTGGATTAATTTCAAGTGGTTCCTCTTATTTAATAAATGAATATAAATTTCCCTTCAACAATGACTTTAGCTGGATCCTGCAAGTTTTGTTATGTAATGTTGTTATTATAATTCAGTTCAAAATATTTTCTAATTTCTATTGTGATTATTTCTTAACCCCAGGTTGTTTAAATAACATTTCTTAATATTTATGTTGCAGTTAATTTCTAGCTTAGTTCCACTATAGTAAATGGACATACTCTATATGGTGCATTATTTGAAATTTGTTGAGACTTGTTTTATGATCCAGGGTTTGGCCTATTTGGTGAATTTTCAATGTGTGTGGGAAATCGTGCACATGTATCAGTTGTTAACATAGTATTTTATATTTACAAATTTGGCTGTTAACTTGGCATGATTAATTGTGTTGTTCAGAGCTTATGTACCCTTCCTGAATCTTGGTCCTTATGTTACTCTGAAAGAGAGGTGGTAAAATCTCCAAATATGATTATGGATTTTTCTTTCTCCATAAGATCTGTCAATTTTTACACTAATTATTTTAATACTATGAAATTTTATAGCTATAAGTTTAAAATTACTATATTATATCTTCCTGGTGATGTCACTAATCACCATTAAATATCTCCCCTTATCTCTTCTTTTTGCCCTGTTTGATACTAGTGTGTCTATACTAACTTTATTCTAGTTAATGTTTGTGTGATTTACAAACATTTTTCAGATGTTTTCTTTCACCCTTTCTGCAATTTTTAAATTTAAGGTTTCTCCTTTTACAAGTAACATTTTAATATTTATATTAGAGTATTTACAATATTCATATTGAATGGAAAATCTGATATATTTGAATTTCAACATTTTACTATTTGTTTTCCAAATTGTGTCCCTTATATTTTTCCTTTCTCAGTTATTCATTCATTATTTGTATGCCAATAATATTGAAAATGCAGGCAAATAAAAACAAAGTTAATGCAAAAATAAGACTTACCAAAATTGAATTTTAAAAAATCCTTCATGACAGCGGTTGCCCTGGGGAAAAAAATGGAAATCTAAATAGACCTATAACCATTAGAGCAAGCAAATCAGTTGTTTAAAACAAACCACAAAAATAAACACCAGACCCAGAGAGTTTACAAACAAATTTAAACTCACCTGTTTTAGAAAACAGAAAATGAAAGAATACACACAATTTGTTTTATGAGGTTTTAATGCTCAAACCAGAAATTAAATATATGAGGAAAAAATACAACTCAATTTACACTTATGAGCACAAGTGCAAAATTATAATATTTTATTAGCAAAAAGTATATTAAATTACATTAATTGTATTATTCAAATTAAATATTGGATAATTATTAATCTAATTATTTAACTATTTAAAATTAAATAAAATTTTCATCTATTTTACCACTTTCACACTAGCATATTTAATATTATTCACAAATTAAGATAAAATTGTGATCTCAATAGATTCACAGAATGCATTTAATAAAATCCAATACCCAATTGTCTTAGTTTGTTTGCACTACTATACAAAATACCTCATCATTTGTAATTTATAAAGAATGGAAATTTATTTGTCACAGTTCTGGAGGATGGAAAGTCCAAGATTAAGGTGTCAAGAGGTTCTGTGCACTGAGGGCCCAGTCTCTGTTTCAAAGATGTCACTTTGAAGGCTATATCCTCACTTGGAAGAAGGGAAGGAAGGGCATAAAATGACCTCACCCAGTTCCCTCTAGCCCTTTTATAAGACACTAATTCATTGATGAGGGCAGAGCACCTTCATATCTTAGTCACTTCCCTACAGGTGCCACCTCTTAGTACCACTACAATGGGGAATAAGTTTCAACATGACATCTGGAAAAGACACATTCAAAGCATAGCACCAGTCTTTATTAAAAAACAAAAAAGTCTTTTAACAGATAAGTTCCATAGCCTGGTAAACCATAAACCTGATCACAGGTAATGATAAAACACTAAAACCATCCAATTGAAAATATAAACAAGATAAAGACATGTGCTATCATCATTACTATCAAATCTTGTCTGAAGATCCCAGGCAAGCAGAAAAGAGAGAGAGAGAGAAAAATGAAAGATAAAAGGATTGAAGAAGAAGAAGCAAAACTCTCCGTTATTCACAGACAATGAACCACAGTGTGATTGTGGACATCTAAGAAGTCTGTGATCTAAGAAGTCACTAATGAAAAATGTGTATCTTGAATGATCTTTGGGAATTTCTGACAGATCCAACAATTTGACAGGTTTTCTCCAGTAGCAGTATTCTGAGACAGTTTGTTTACAGTATTATTGTGCTATTCTAAACATTGCAGTAATGGAAATAGGAACAAAAGGGTGATTAAAGCTTTAAGAGTAAAGGAAGATATTCTGAAAATGCAAGGACGTGTAAATGAAAGGGACATCTCTCACCATGTAATACAGCAGCTTCCCCTGTCACCTTCTGCCATGAATATAAGCTTTCTGAAGCCCTCACCAGAAGCAGATGCCAGCTCTATGCTTCATGTACAGACTGCAGAACCATGGGACAAGGTAAAACTTCCCTTCTTTATAAATTACCCAGTCTCAAGTATTCCTTTATAGCAATGCAAAGCAGCCTAACACAAAGGCCTTGTATCCCTCTTCTGCCAGGAAATTTAAAGTCAATATAGTGTTCTGGTCAGAGTCTGTCTTAGTAGTGCAGGCTATTACTATGTCATCAACATACTGTAACAAAGTCTCATCTTTTAATTGGAGGTCTCACAGGTCCTTGGCAAGTATTTCCCCAAAGATAGTTGGAGAGTTTTCGAAACCTTGGTGAAGCACTGTCCAATAAAACAGCTGTTAGGCTTTAGAACATGGTATTGTTATTCCAAGGCAAGCAGTTATTGGGACTCTGGATTCAGGGGAATACAGAAAAAGACATCTTTTAGCTCTAAGGCTGAAAACCAGCCAAACTTACCAGGCAATGTCATGAGTAGTGTGTAAGGATTGGGGACCGCTGGATGGATGTCTTCCATAATCTGCTTATTGGCCCTCAAATCCTGTATAAATGTATATTATTTAAGTCCAGGCTTCTATAGTGGCAGAATAGGCATATTGCACAGGATCTGACAGGGTCTAATGCGCTCATATTGTAAGAAGGCAAACAATAAAGGCTAAATGCCCCACTGTGCCTGTTCTCCCTTAGTGTACTGTTTTAGGTTTTTCACTGTTACTCTAGCATAACCTTGACTCACACTGGGAGTGTGGTTTTCACTTTCCCTGGCCTCATCTGCCCAAGTTTCTGGACTCACCTCTTAAAGCAGTGTCCCCAACATTTTTGGCACCAGGGACTGGTTTCATGGAAGACAATTTTTCCACAGATAGTGGTGGGGAATGGGGGTGGTGGTGATGGTTTTGGGATGAAATTGTTCCACCTCAGATCATCAGGCATTGGTTAGATTCTCATAAGGAGCACACAACCTCGATTCCTTGCATGCACAGTTCACAATAGAGTTTGCACTCCTGTGTGAATCTAATGCTGCCACTGTTCTGACAGGAGGCAGAGCTCAGGTGGTAATGCTCACATCTTGCTGTGTGGCCTGGTTCCTAACAGGCCATGGACTGGTACTGGTCCATGGCCCAGAGGTTGGGGACCCCTGTCTTATACCTCTTCCTGTGTGGGGGCATTTTCAATAACTTCTCTTTGCAAGAAGGCAACCTGAAGAACACAGGCTTTTTCTGGGGGCCCCTGAATGTTCATCCAATGCAGAGAAAAGGTAACTTAAGCATTTAATTTGGCCAGGAAGTCTTGTCCCAACAAACAAATAGGACATTCAGGCATGTATAGGAAACCAGCTTTTAAATGAGTTTGTCCTAGTTGAAAGCACAAAGTTCGGAGAAGTAATCTTGGCAGTATCTTTCCAAAGACCCCAGCCACTTTTATAAACTCAAAAGAAAATTTAGACAACTGAGTGTTCAATACTGAATAAGCAGTACCGGCATCTACATAATACTTCAAAAACTCATTTCCTATTGTCATTGCTACCCAAGGCTCCATATGGGAAATACAGAAGGTATGGTTTGGGTCAGGAGAAAGACCTCAGCCCCATTCTTCCTGATCTGCTTCAAGCCCTTTAGACATCTGGGGAATTAGGTGAACTGAAGGCTAACTTTTCCCAGCACTGGGCTTTTGAGGCATGAGTAATCTTTTTTCCAGTCATCTTTCCGTTTTGAATAGGCACACTGTTTGGGACCTGCAGTAAGACAACCATTTTTATTGATAGTTTGGGGCCAAGGTGGTCCTACCTTAGATGATGTGCTTGCAGGGGTCCCTATCATGGTCTAGGGACTCCTTGAGTCAAAGCCTCAGCCAACAAGTCAGCTGTTTGTACATTTTTCGTTTTTATTTCCATTTCTTCACCTGGATCAGTAAATACATTGAAAGCAATATCCACCAACTAAGACAAAGACATTCATAAAAGCCTGTCCACCTTTTTCAGCTTTTTCCAAGAATTTGTGGCACTTTGACTAACAAACCTCATGTATGCCATTTTTAAATTGTCTGGGGCTTCTGGATCAATATCCATGTATTGTCCAAACTCTTCAAAACCCCACTGTAAGAACTCTGAGAAACTGTCATTAGGTTGCTCTCTAAATTCCTGGTCCTTACTGAGGTTTCTTTGGTTGGGCACCCCCTTCCACAGACCAGCCAAAATGCAATCCCAATCATGTTCCAGCTTAGGTCTATCTGCAGTGTTTACATTCAATCCTGGATAAAGGGCGGGCACTGCAACTTAGGCAGCTGTTCTTACCAGATTGCCGGGTGAGTCAGCATGCAGTCAATAAGTTTCCTCCTGAGCTTTATCTAAACCCATTCTCTGATTCTCTAAGGTTAAAAATATGTTTAAAAAATTTTAGACATTTGTCCATGTGGGGATATGAGTACCAAATATTGAGGAGAACAGATTCTCTATCCACTTTGCATCTTGCTGACAGGTGGGCATGTTGTTTTTCCAATTAAACAAGTCAGAGGTAGAAAATGGAGAGTGGACCCAAACAAATCCCATAGGTTGGCCTGTAAGCAGCATCAAACTCTTTTATGAGTAGCTGTAAGGGGAATTGTCCTCCCAGAGCCAAAATGGCATCCTGATTGAATTGAGTTCCCTGTCAGGAATGAGAGGGAAAGACCACTTTTGTTGCTCCTAACTCCTGAACTCTGTAGGGTGAGGACTCCAGCTTAGGGGCCAGCAGAGCAGCTGCAGCTTCCACATAAGGTGATGACGCTGTGAGAACAGTATGCTTATTTAGTTGAACCACCAACGTATCATTATCTTTTTTCTTGTCAGTCAGCCAAACAGGTATTTTCCTTTGCTGAACAATGATTTTGCATTTCTTTTCCATTGGTTTATTTTGCCAAAGCAGAATAAAATATTATACATAAGGGATCTCTTCCCATTTCTCTTTCCTCTTGCAGTAAACTGCAGGATAGTACTGTAATCGAGGGAGCCTTTTAATGACCACTGCTTACCTGAATCCAGCATGTATTGTGGCCAGGCAGTATTACAAAAGAAAATCAACTTTTTGTTTGTTTGTTTCATGCACTTATAGACAAAACCTTCTGAATTTTGCAGGTTGCAGCCCAAAAGACTGCTTCAGAGAACCAAATCAACATTTCCCATTCCAGCCAAGATGCGCACACACCAAAACACAGGCACTAGTCACTCTGCTCACTGCCGAAGTTTGACGTGGTGAGGCTGACACTTGTTCCTGTTGGTCTCTAGCACCACTGATGCACTCAAGGCGGGGAGGAATGAGCTCCACTGGAAGTTCAGTAGGTGGTCCCCAGGAAGGATGGAAGAGCAGATGGTCACTCTGAGTTAGGCTAGTGGAGCTTCCAGTAGCAATTCCTTCAGGGCTCACCAAATGTTACTAGCCATACAAAAAAAGATAGTTCCCTGAATTAGGCCTGCTGAGCTTCTGCTAGTAATTCCTTCAGGGGATTTCCTCCATGGCCGTAAGTATGCATAATAAGACAAAGATAAATAACAAGGCCTTCCAAAATCAAGTTCTAAATTTCAGAAATTTCACCCAAGTAATGCCCTTTATTCTCTTTCCAAGTGAATAGAAATCCCCTCAAACAAGGTCCTTCTTATTTCTAGGGAGGTTTGGCAAGACCTTGAAAGAGGCAAGAAGACCTCTAAGAAGGCCACAAAACCTTCAAGGAGGCCATAAGACTTCCAAGGAAGCAACAAGACCTTCTGAGAGGCCACAAGAACTCCAAGGAGGTCACAAGATCTGTCAATAGGCAAGACATCAGAGATAGCCGCTAGTTCGGTGGAACTGAGTGGCCACTTGGCTTGTCTCTGGGTCCATCCCAGTGGAAAGGGGGCACTGAGCCAAATGTCCACAAGGGGCTCTTGAATAGCTCTTATAACAAAATTTGTTATAGGGCCAACATGTTTATATGCCCACTGCACAGTAACAGACCAATTACACTGAGGCAGCAGGGATGCAGCAGAGAAAGAATTTAATTATTGTAGGGTGCCAAGTGAAGAGGTGGAAGGATAACATCAAATCCATCTCCCCAGGGAGTTCTGAGCTGGCATTTTCAAGGAGATTGTGGAAGATGAGAGGCTGAAAAATTGGGATCATTGATTGGCCAGGGCAAACAGGATGAAATCATCAGAATGTGGAAACTGCATTCTTTGGTGAGTCAGCTTCTCACAAGGTTCTTCAGCCCAACTGGCATCAGTGGGGTCCTTCAGACCAGCTGAGTCAGTAGTTTCATCAGGACCTGAAGGAATATCTCAAAGAGAAAACTTAATGTCTCATAATGTTCAGGTTGTTATCTATAGACCAGTTACGGGGAACTATAATCCAGGGTCCATGTGATTCCAGGACAGTCAGCACCAAACAACTCCAAGGATGCAGGTCAGAGAGCAGGCTGACCTAATGATGAATGCTGGACATGGTGCAAGCTTGGTTTATTTTTGTTTCTTCCTTCTCTTCTTCCCTGATTAATTTTATAAACTTTATCCAGGTGGTTTCAACACTTGGATCCAGTAAACAAGGATATTAAAGAGATGAGGTATGCAGTCACAAAGAAAGATAAATAGGCCAGTGGAAAATACGAGAATCCTGGTCCTGAAACAAACACTGGTAGCTTAATATTGGACAGAAATGGCATGAAAGATAGTAAACAAAGGATGGTTTATGTAGTAAATCACAAAAGGACAACTGGCCTTACATTTGGAGAAAGAATAAAGCAAATGAGCAAAAAGCCTGGAGTTGTGGATCATCCGTCTAATCCCAACACTTTGGAAGGCTGAGGTGGGTTGATCTTAAGCTCAGGGGTTTGAGACCAGCTTGGACAACATAGTGAGACTTCATCTCTACTAAAATAAACAAATAAATTAATTAGTTAATTAATAGCTGAGCATCATGGTGCATGCCTGTAGTCCCAGCTGCTCAGGGGCCTGAGGCAGGAGGATTGCTTGAGCCTGGAAGTTGGAGGCTTCACTGACTTATGATATGCCATTGCACTCCTATCTGGAAGACAGAAGGAGACCCTGTCTCAAAAAAACAAAACAGAACAGAACAATAAACATTTACTGGATTTCAAGAGGAGACCAATCTTTACTTTTACATGTAAAAGTGATGAAATACATTATTAAGGAAAACATTGATAGATTTTGCTATAAAAATGTTACAAATTCTCTAGGTTAAAAACATGTAAACCAAATTGAAAAGAAACAAGCTGGAAAACCTAGGTACATGCAGTTAATGAAGTTTTTACTAAAAAGAAAAAGCATTCAAACTATTCTGGAGAGTGTACCAAGACCCAAAGCAGTAAATTTACAGAAACAAAATTTAAATGAGTAATGCACATAATAAAATATACTATGTCCCTTAAAAAAACACCGCATATTCTCACGCATAGGTGGGAATTGAACAATGAGATCACATGGACACAGGAAGGGGAATATCACACTCTGGGGACTGTGGTGGGGTCGGGGGAGGGGGGAGGGATAGCACTGGGAGATATACCTAATGCTAGATGACACGTTAGTGGGTGCAGCGCACCAGCATGGCACATGTATACATATGTAACTAACCTGCACAATGTGCACATGTACCCTAAAACTTAAAGTATAATAAAAAAAAATACATGACATAAATATTATGTCATAAATGCTTCTATATTTGTTATAATGAAAGCTTCTTGATACAGAATATGCTCTATATTAGTCCATTTTCACACTGCTATAAAGAACTATCTGGGACTAGGTAACTTAAAAAGGAAAGAGTTTACGTTGACTCACGGTTCAATATGGCTAGGGAAGCCTCAGGAAACTTACAACCATGATGGAAGGCAAAGGGGAAGCAAGGCACCTTCTTCATAAGGTGGCAGGAAGAATGAATGGAGGAACTACCAAACACTTATAATACCATCCAATCTCATGAGAACTCACTCACTATCATGAGAATAACATAGGGGAAACCTCTATGATCCAAATACCTCCATCTGGTCTCTCCCTTGACACCTGGGGATTATACGGATTATAATTCAAGATGAGATTTGGGTAGGGAAACAAAGCCCAACCATATCATGCTCTTAATTATAATTTTTTCACTGCATCTTCCTTTCATAATATTGTTTCAAGGAAAACTATATTTTGAGTTTCCAGAAATGGGAAGGTGTGGCCAGAAGAGGCACAGGGTTTTAATGACTTACAGATTAGAGAAGAGGAAAATCACTGGAGGAGACAATGAAATTTAAAATTTTTCTTTGAAAGAAAGGGTTTTTTGGTGCATCTTCAACAGAAAATGCAACTACTCTTGTCAATCACTTTATACATGTTCTAAATTGTACAAACAGACAAGGACAATGCCACTTACTCCCGAGATTGTATGTATCTAGCAGATAGGTAGCTAAGGCGGTGAGACATAACAAGATCTGAGCAAGCAAAGATATTTTCTTGCACAGATTCTTGACCTAGAACATTATCCAGAGCATGTAATCCCTGACTGGGAAGCTGGCGTGGAGTAGAGCTTGGAGAATTTCTTGGTTCCAGAGTGGGTCACAGCCAAGTGTTACCAAGAAATTGTATTTTTATTTAGTTATAGACCCACAAGTCACTTGTATTCTTTACATTGCTAATCAAATCCAAAGCAGCCAAGATCGTGCACCAGGACAGAAGTAAACAATGGCCTGTCACCTAAGGAGCTGGAAATGATGCCCCATTCAAGAGAAACTTTCACAACCCACCTCTAATTCACCAATGATCAGGATAACTCATGCTCTATTCTTCCTCTATAAAGCACATTGACTGATGAACACATGTGCTTTCTAAGCCACACTATAATGTCCATGAACTTCTGTTCTTACCTGTCTGGTTATTTGCTTACCAAGAATCTGTGTTGTTTGTTCCCAAATTCAACTAGGTCAGTTCTTATGCTGTGATCGGGTAACTGAATTCAATGTTATATCCAACTGAAAAGGAATCATGGCATGCTAATTACCCTGATCTGATCACTATACATTATACATATGGAAATATCAATATGTGCCCCATGAATAGTCCACTTAAATAAATAATTAATTAAAAATTAAAATGAATGGGAATGATGCAATTAAATCAAGATATTAAAAATATTGTTGAAGATGAGGCTGGTGGGAAATGTTATAAAAATCTAAAAGTGCTGTGCAGAAAGATTACTCTCCAAGTATTTTTAAGGGCTCATTTCTCTTCAATCAAACTGCAAATGTTAATCATGGATCCCACATTTCAAATGTGGTTTGTGCTAAACGATGATGTGGAATGCTAACAGGAAAATCTATCTTCAGAGAAAGCACTTAGGCCCTACCATGATAAACTGACAAATCAGTATTTATTAGAATTTTTTTAAGTTAAAATAAAATGTGTATGATAAGCCTTTTGCAACACCTAATGAAACAACAGATCTTGGCAATGATGGATGTATGCTACAAACACTAGAAACGTGGCAATTAAATTTAAATTAAATAAAAATTTTAGTTCCTCAGTCTAACTAGCCATATTCCACATGCTCAATAGCTACATGTGGCTCAGTGGCTACCATCTTAGAGTAGATATGGAGTGTTTCCATTTTCAAAAAAAGTTCCATTGGACACACCATTCTAGAACCAGCAGTTTGGAAATGACAGCATGTTAAACAACATCTTAGAGAAACAATCAGCGAAGTCCAGAACACTGGAAATTTTACAGGAAAAACTACACAGTTGATTTAACAAATGAATGACATTAAAACGTACGGGAGCTGCATACATTAAAAAAATTTAATAAGCAGTGAATCTAAACACAATATAAAGACCTTATTTAAATCTTAATTTAGCAAACTAAATGTAAAGTGACATCTCTGACACAATTGAGAAAATTTAAACATGGACTAGGCATTAAAAGATCTCAAAGAATTATCATTAATTTCTAGGTGTGAAAAAGATATTCTGGCTGTGCTTTTTGTTTTTAATTTTAATTTTCTGTTAAAGACACATGCAGATACAGAAATATAAAAGATTATACATAAAATGATAAGATATTTGAGACATGCTTTAAAATATTACAGGCAGAAGGAAAAGTGTGCATGTGAATGCATTTATGTGTAGATGGATGAAATGAGAATGGTGAAATACCTATAATTGTGGAATCCATGTTGCTCTCTCTACCTTGAGATATGTTTGAATATTTCCATATTATACAATTCAAAATGCACACAGTATGTATATATATTTGCATCTGTGTGAGTCCATCTGTTATAACTGATTTTTTAATTCACTATCAAACTACTAGGTCATATAAGAAGGAATCCAGTGTATAACCCCCTTTCCTGAATGCTGATCTCCAAGGCAAGGCCCAGTGAGGAGAGTTTATGGATTCTCCTGCCTGAGCAAATTGTCTCCAGTCTCTTTACCAACCTCCAGCCAACAAAGGGCATGTGTTGGACATTGGCCACCTTAACTTCATTTCAATGTGACAAAGTTTGTTACAAACAAGATTGATTTGAATGTGGCTGTTAATAAATCACAGGCTGCCAATAATTACTTTTGATACTTCCAGATTTTTTTGAAACTCTATTTCTGCTTTTGATGTCATTTAGTGTAGGTAGAAGCTCTATTTGAATTCTTCTTGCACTTCAAATTCTGATAGACTTATACATTTTAATGTAGAGGAGTTAAGCTACCCATTCATTTAAGAAAATGATCCATTTGGTCTCTCTAATACCCACAAATAATTACCATTAGAAAACTATAACAATGAAATCACAGAGTTAGAATAACACCATGCAAATCCCAAAGAACTGAGGTATTAATATGAGAAATAAATAGCTACAATCTGAAATAATAAATCAATAAGATAAACGAACTATATCACCTGTATACAATATGTCTTAATAAATAATGTTATTGGAAAGAAAATGTATTGGCTGTCCAGAGATGGGACTTTAAGCTCTTCTCTTCCATATCTTTGATCTTTGTCAAAGCAATTTACTTCCTTTTGATTCCATTTCTTTATCTCCAAAATTAGCAATGTCATATGGGAGACTGGGATGGGGATATTTTTAAGTATAATTTTTATATGCAGAAAAGATTATTCAGAGGCTCATTTTGCATTCAACCAAGTAATACTGAATTTACTAATACGAAAACTTCAAGAATCTAGTTTATAAGTTATTTTGTGTTTAGCTTGAAAATCCTATTCTCTAGCAGTGTTTAAAAGTGATTGCTTTTAAAGGACCTTTAAATAATAGTTTTTATAAATAAATGTATTAAAATATCTTAAGCATTTTAACTACATTTTAAATATTTAGTTATTTAATTTTTACATATTTCAGTTAACCTCTAATTTATATAAATTTTATAAATTAAATTAAAATTTTGGTGAAACATTGATACTCTTAAATATTCCAATTCTATAAACAAAAAATTTAAATGATTGTTCAATTATAAATTTTAAAACTGGACTTCTTCTGTGCTCTACTAGGTTAAATACTCTTAAATATTAGAAAATTATAAAATACTAACCTAACACAGATTTCTTAATGAGATAATATTAATATTATGGTTTTAAATTTCCTAAACACTTCCCTAATTTTCTAAATCTCATTGAGGTTAAAAGTTACCTACTAAATGAGGAAGAGTGTCCCCATCCCAGTTAAATGACACTGTTTCCCATCAAAGATTTAAACCAAGTATAGTATTTGGAATTACATAAACTATTATATTATGCCATATAATTTTGGTTGATGCCTCTCCAGTATTGTTTAGGGTAATAAGGACATGGAGTTTTTGTTCAACAAGTTGGCCGGATTCTTACTGTAGACATGAATGGATGCTCTAAACTCAGTCTATAGTTGCTATATAAATTAACCCACAATTACATGAAGGAGTGGCCACTAGTCCAATAAATTTCTGGATTCACAATATATAACAAAGTCTGCAACTTCAACATGAGGTGATCTCATTTAAATTTTGCCATTTCTTTGCCTCTTAAGGAGTATACATGTCTTCTCCCTGGGCATAAAGAGCTCTAAACATGGTGAAATCCAACAGTTCTATCACACCTTATTCTTGGGACTGCACAACCATTATAGATTTTAAGTTACATCTTATTAAACTCTAAATGTCTGTAAGGACTTTATTTGACAATTCAATGATAATTTACATGGTTATTCCACTAACAAGAGTATAGACTCATCACTAATCTGAAGTTAAATAAAGTTGTACTATATCTAGATCTTCTAGAATGAATATATTTCTGCTATGTGACCTTAACAGTGCTGCCCACTTGAATTTATTTGGGTGCAGATAGTCATTAGTATGATGACATCTATAGGTATTTCTCTAAGTAAGCTCTGAAATCCTCCCACTGAAATACCAATATGTCAGCCAAATTCTCAATCTGCCTGCCGCACTCAACAATTGTACCCTGGGCACAGACTTAAATATTGAGGAATCTAAATGCAATGATTATAATGACTCTTTTTAGTATCCTCTGTTTAGAGTTCACGTTTGGAAAATTAGGGTACCTTTAAGTATTCTGACAATGGTACATTATCTCCAGACCTTAGAGGGAGAGACATATCTTCGTTTTCTTGGTTATACAATAACATATTTTTAAAATAATTTTTAAAAGGAAATTAATGTAGCATATATGTTTATGCAAACAGCATTATTTTTAAATATGCTTATAAAAACATATGGAGATTTTTGAGAAGCAGGGGTCATCTGGTCCCACCTTCTCTTCTAAAACTGGGAAGGCATGTTGCCTCCCAAGCAAGCAGACTCTGAGCTTGACTTCAGTGTTTCTGTAGGAAGAAAATGTGGTTCATCTCTGTGGCTGTTTCTGAGAACGGAGGTGCTGAGTGTTTGAGGAGCTGAAAGAACAGGTCACGCTGGAACCAAACTAAATACAAACCTTAAAACAATGAGCCTCTGTCTGAATGCAGGTCTTCTGGCTCCCAGAGTGACACCTTAGCCAACCCATGTTCTGTGACTGTCCTGAGTTGCAGGGCTGAGGCAAGGAAATCATATCCACACTCACAGTTCTCTAGTTCATTCTCTCTCTCTCTCTCTGTCTCACCCTGTCTCTCTCTCTCTCTCTCTCTCTCTCTCTCT
The DNA here is from genome assembly GCF_000001405.40 of Homo sapiens. Classification (NCBI taxonomy): domain Eukaryota; kingdom Metazoa; phylum Chordata; class Mammalia; order Primates; family Hominidae; genus Homo; species Homo sapiens. Next base: position 7,751,531 of record NC_000020.11, read on the forward strand.
CTCTCTGTCTCCTTCTCTCTCTCTTCCCACTAGAATATACACAAGAAACCGATACTCTTAACACTGGATTATGACTGGGAGTCAAGACATGACCCCTGACCTTGCACACCAGGTAGCTTGAGCTTTGTTGTTTTTCATCCTTATACTAGAAGATTTCCCTTGTCAAGATTTCCATTTCTTTCCCTTGTCAAGATTTCCATTTCTTTCCCTTGTTGGGAGAAATTATCCACAATGTACGAGCAGGTAAATGGATTATTGCATGTTCATTGTTTACCAGCCCACCCAAGGATTATTTCATTCTCTAGGCCAGGAGTCAAGACACTTTTCCTGCAAAGGGTCATATGGTACACATTTTAGGCTCTGAGAACCATATATTCTGTCATGAGTATTCAGCTCTACCTTTGTAGCACAAAATCAGCCATAGGAAACAAACAAATGGGTGTAGCTTTGTCCCAAAGGAACTTTATTTAGAAAACCAAGTGGCCAGTGGATTTTGGTCTACTGTAATTTGTCAACATTTGCTCTCCTCTAGGAAAATAAACCTTACTTGATTTGCTATTTGTACTTGATCAGGGCCCAGCCTCTGTGAGTTTACCAGTTACCTTAATTAAAATATTGATCCTATAGAAGTGCAAATTACTTTTTTTCTGATTGAATTGACAGTCCCAAAGGTTATGATTTTATTGCCTAATAGCTCTTTAAACTGTTTTGTCTCTAACTTCAAAAGTAAAATTTTATTTTAATATGTCTTTCCTGATAGACTATATACACTCTTAATCCTCAAAGGCCCTTTGAACCAGGTATGTCATATTTCTGGATGAGTTATATAAGTGAACTATTGTTAATTTATACTAGTTCACTAGTATAAACTAGTGAACTAGTTAATAAGAACTGCACTATATCCTATATTTATATAAGAATCATAGTTTTATCTTTCTGACAACTAAATATTAACAATCTGGATTTGAGGCAAACACACCAGCATTCTATACATGATACCAAGAACAAATATCACAAGCACCTAGGAGGGAAAAAGGCAGGCATGTCGTGTGAAGCCCCTCCCTTCTCTTACCAGATAAGCTCATGAGTTTTCTATGAGATGACATTGGTCTTTTCTAGATTCCTGATGCCAACTCCTGGGAATTCCTATGTCTTTAGAAACAGTGGCTAGAAAAACACAGTTTCACAGAGGTAAAATGAGGCAATTCATCAATAAAAATGAGGTAATTCACTAATATAAAGCTCTGAGGTATTTATTTTTCAGCTCTGCTATTTTACAGTAACTACTGCTTGTAGCAAAGATAATTCCTCAAAATCCTTTCCTTTTATGCACTCCATTCACATATAGGAGAGTTCGTTGAAGTGAAGGAATGATGGGCTCAATTAAGAAAAGGGACATATGCCAGTCATCTGAAATCTTTCTAGTTTGAAACAGAAAATAACGTTATTTTGATGATTGCTTTAAAAATGAGAAGAAATTTAATATAAAAATTAACTCTGAATTAGCCCTGAGTTTTACACACCATCAAGGTCAGATTAATTTTAGGGAGCATTCCAAAGCTGCACTAGTACACTGCTATCCTTTCTCAAGTGTGTAACTTCAAAAGCTCACTTCTGGTTCATGCTATGTCTCAAGCATCATTTCTACAGAGATAACTTCCCAACTCTATTTCTAGGCTACATTATTCTTCCAGGCATCAGTCTTCCGTTTGCAGAAGACTGACCATCTCTCTTTTCCTCCAAGCTTATTCTTCTTCCTGTCTTGTCCATACTATGGTACTCCCATCAGATGGCCTTCTTTGCTCAAAACCTTTAAAACTTATTTGACATTTCCCTTCACCTTACCACCATCCCTAACATCCATTCAGCAGCTGGATCCCATCAGTGCTCCTCCACCCTCACCCACAGTTCACTAGCACAGGTTACCTTAGCTTCACTTTCTTTCAGCTGCTCAATGCCTGGTCGGCTCCTTTCTCAGAGCCCCACTCACTCCATTAATAGAACAGGCAGACACAGACTACTTTTTTTTTAACACACATTTCCTGGTGCTTCCATTCCTTACCCCAATCAAAAAATGTTGACTGTTTCTTATTACTAGGCAAGTAAAATACAAATCCAAGACCCTACCTGACCTCCATACCAATATTGCCATCACTGATTCATTTCAACTGCTCCTAAGTCCTTGTTCACTCCTTTCTGCCTCCCTGAAATATATTTTACTGCAGCCTTCCCTTGCACTACTATGTTTTTACAGGTCCCAACCTTGTCTAAAGGTCTTTCCAATTACCCCAAATAACATTTGCCTCCTGCAACATCCATCATCTTTCACTGGTTCTCTCCCACATTCTTAAACTTCTTAAGAATGGGTAGGCATGAATGTGTATGGTAATAAAATGACAGTTTTCAGTTTGCACCCCAGCACTGACATTTGTCACCTCTGTGACTTTTACCAACTGACTACATGTCTCTGTGCCTCAATTTTTCTATTATCTGTAAAAACAGGACAAAAGCCTTCACCTCTCCAGACTCATGTAGATATAAATGAGTGAAACTGATCCACAACAAATATCATTTATGTGGATCTTATAACACTACGTCTTGAATATCTGAGTTTGCCTTTTGGTTAAACTTATTTCATAGAGACCTGGAGAAGGATTCCTTGTGGTTGTCCAACATTCTTCTTTTGGTAACAGCCTTCTGGAGAATTATTTCCTCTCATTAGGTCCAAGCTGGTGAAGCTGTAAATCAAGGTGCCTGGCCTTCCTTGCCAACTTTGTGGACACATTGCTTAAGCTGGACATATTGGACTTTCTGTCCTGGGACTTTGTACTGTGAGCTGAGTAATGAAAAGTTGAAAAAAAAAATTGGGATATCTGTATTCCAACATTTTAGTCCCAACAACTCAGTTGCACAGTTGCTCTTACTGAGATTACTAGAATGCCTGGTTCTATCCTTTCTAGTGTTTCTTTTCATTCCCTTCATGCTCATGTCTTCCCACACAGTCCCCCAACCCCTCCTATAATTTTTTTTCTGCTTGAGTTAGTGAAATTTAATTCCGTTGCTTACAACCAAAGAACCCTAACCAAGTATGTCATCTACCAAAATGGAGACAGCCAAAGCCCAATGTCTAGCACTTAAAATTCTCAGTAAATCTTTGTGATATAAAAAAAAATTATTGTCCGGGCGCAGTGGCTCACGCCTGTAATCCCAGCACTTTGGGAAGCTGAGGCAGGCAGATCACGAGGTCAGGAGATCGAGACCATCCTGGCTAACGTGGTGAAACCCCGTCTCTACTAAAAATAAAAAAAAATTAGCTGGGCATGGTGGCGGGTGCCTGTAGTCCCAACTACTCGAGAGGCTGAGGTAGGAGAATGGCGTGAACCTAGGAGGCGGAGGTTGCAGTGAGCCAAGATCACACCACTGCACTCCAGCCTGGGCAACAGAGTGAGACTCCGTCTCAAAAAAAAAAAATTATTAAACCTCCATCTGCCTTGTTGATATACACTGTAGTTTAAGTTCATTCTCTTAATTCCATTAGGAATCAGAATTCTTTCATGTTTTATTTGCTTCCACTCTAAAAAATATTTATGCTCATCTTGTTCCAAAAATAAGATGATGTAATTGACATTTACATAGAAAATTGAAACAATGAAGGAAAAGTTAAAATGAAGGGTTTTTTTTCCAAAAAGAGTTATAAAACAAATTTAAAAGTCCATAATCCTGATCATCGGATTAATTTGTTTCAAACACTTCATTTCTGGTCTGCTATTCTACTCTGGTTTTCCCTTAGACTCACTTGGGAAGATTTTTTTTTTTAAATACATGTGACTAGCTCTCACTAAAGACCAGTTTTATCTGAAGATCTAGGTGTAGGACCTGGGATGCAAACATTTTCAAATGTATCGGGTAAATTCTGATGCACAATAAAGGTTGAGAGCTTGAGACTTAGGGATCCAATCAATCATGCAAGATGCTTAAAATGGAACGTTGATCTTCACATGATACTTGTCAAATGTAGAAAATTTTGTCTGGATTTGGAAACAAAAATGTGAGCATGAAGCTTCGGTAAAATAAACTCTCTTGAAAAACACTAATACTCTACAATTATTTTTCCATCAAAATAAAATAGTGCCAAGTACATAGCTTCTTCCAAGTAACAAATCTTTAAAACCAAAGTGAAATTTTGAAACCACTCCTTCAAATAGCATCCGTCCGGTAGACAGATGGCATGTTTTATTTCATTTCCCGTTTCTACTTGGTGGAGTTCATGGGGTATTTTGAGAATCAATGGGTAATTAAGAATTGGGTGCCAATTTAGGTATTTGATTTGGAAATTGAGTCTTTGAAAACCATCAATTCCAAATATAGCGCAAGCCCTCCTTATTATGCTATCCCAGAAACTGGTAATAAGAACACTCTAAAAATATTTAGAAATGCAGGAGCCAGATTTTCTGGGCTGCAGGTGGAGGACACACAGCTGCCAGGAAATGGAAGACACCTGCTATGTCCCTGAGCCCCCCTTTGGCGGGTAGTGGATGGAGGACAATAAGGTCTGCTGTAGTATTAATCTGGGTACTAAATAGTAATAAATAAATGTGATTTAAGAGCATTGTTGGGAGACCTTTCTGAAAGAGCATGCACAGTAGTCCTTGGTAGTAAGGAATCAAGGCTGGTAGCCCTAAGCCATTTTTGTTAAATGTAAAGAGTGCTGAAAAAGTTTCACACCTGCAACTACCAGTCAGTAGCACCTTAGGAGACATTACTTCATCAGACACGATTAACTCCTTGTTCTAGAGAGTTCAGCAGAAGTCTATAGAAATTTACAGTCTATGTGACATTGTGCTAGGCTGACAGGCATCAACCTGAGACTGAGGTGTGAAAAAAGATCACTTGAAAATCTTATTAAAAGGCAGATCTCTGAGGCTCAGCTTCACATATTCTGATTTACAAAAATTGTAGAGGAATCAGGAACCTGCACTTTATCAAGCATTCCAGGGGTACTTTTGGTACAAGTGGTCTGTAGGCAACACTTGGGGAAACCAATAATGATTAATATCATGCTTCCATTAAGGAAAGTTAATTTTAGGGAAAAAAGAGTATTTGAAAACCTGAGTAAAGAAGGATCTGGCAGGGGTTTCTGGCTCAAGTAAGAAAGCCTCAAAGAACAGGGAGTGATAGGTAAGTCCAGATTGCAAGATATTCCAGAAAGAAGGGGAGAACCAAAGGGAGGAGAGGTGAGCAGTTGCTAGGAACAAACCTCAGAATTACAAAACTTTTCCTAAGATCTATTCTGGGGAGGAGAACAGTTTGAGAAGTAAAAGACCATAAGGAAATATCGGATCATCCAACATTGACCAAATGTTACTACCAGTCAGCATTGCACCAGGTGCTTTAGAAATATCACCATCACTAATAGGTAGCTGCAGCCTATAGGTTAGGTGCGTGGACTCTAGGGGCAGTGGTTGCTCACGTATGCTGGTTATATCTGAAGTCACCTGGGAGCTTTGATAAATGCTGATGCCAAAGCTCCATGTAGAGAGTTTCTGGTATAATTGGTCTGGAGGATAACCTGAGCCTTTGTGTTTTTTCAATGCTCCTGGAAAGTGTTGAAAACTAATGCTCTAGAGCAGCACTTCTCAAACTTTAGGGTGTACCAGAACCACCTGGAGACCTAATAGAGAACACAGGCCCAGGCTTCTTGAGGTGGAACAGGGCCTGCCCTCTTGTGTTGACCAAGTGCCCCAGGTGATTCTGATACCTGCCAATTTTGATAAACACTGATCTTGAGGGAGACTGTGTAGGTTTGAATTGGACTTCACCACCATCAACTAGATACCCTGGGGCAAGTTACATACACCATGGGCTTCACTTTCCACACCTGTTAAGCCATGATAGTAGGACAACCCTGATGAGGGATGAATGTGAATGGCCCTGGAGACTCTTTCTTCTCACTTTCTGGTGAGCTTAGTGGAGAGCGGTCTCAGCAGCTCAGTTATCTCAATAGAAGAACAGGCTGATACCAGCTTCAGCCCCTTCTACCCACCTCTCACATAGCCACTTACCCCAGAAGAAAGCGTCCATTGTTTCGTAATCTCATAGATGTTCCCTGCATATTCTCTCCCAACCCTGACTCCCACCACAATTGTGTACAATCATAATTTTTCAAACTTCAGTGTGCATTGAACCACTTGGAAGACTTGATAAAACACAGATTTCTGGCCCCAATCCCAGAGTTTCAGTCTGTCGGTCTGAATATGGCCCGATAATTTGCATATCTAACAAGTTTTCAAGTAATGCTGATGCTAATCCAAGGTATACCTTGAAAACCATTGAAGTAGAACACACTGAGGACAGGGCTCCTCTCTGCAGAACCATTGGCCATGCTTAAGCAGTAGGATAATGAAAATCTGAGGATTGCGCAAACTGTGCCACTTCTCTGATTTCTCCTATAATCTCTTTTATGTTTGCACTGCAGAATGCTAATGGTATGTGTGTCCATCACTGTAGTGGGGATTTCCCATGTTATCACCTGTAAAATTGTTTAGAAATGAATCTAACAAATAGTCTGGGCCCTTAAATGAAAGACAACATTATTTTTAATTTGTCAAACTCATCTTATGCACCTGCTATGTGCTGGATATTTGGCTAGATGCTGCAACTACTATGATGAATGAAACACATTCCTTATATAATAAGAATTGATAGTCCAAAAGAAAATAAAAGCAAGTTCACAAATAATTATAATGCTATAAAACACACAACAATATAAAAAAATCTCTGGTGTGGGAAGGCTCCCATTAAGTTAGTTATCATTAGGGAAATGCAAAAGCCATGATCTACTAGTATTTTTGCTATCACCCAACTCCCACAGGAAATGTAAAAATCCATCCCCTCCCCTCCCCATTCTCCCTACCCCTGACTTCCAGTACCCACTGCAGAGATGTGATGCACTTGTATAGTATTCGACTGTATTCTATTCATCAAAGATAAACATAGTGGAGAAAATAGCATTAGTGAAATATCCATTAGATGTGGTTTCATCCTAAATTATTTCTGCCCATACTCGAGATGCTTGAAGTTTTAATCATTTTATTATCATTTGGTATTTACATAGAATCTTTTCTCAAAAAACCACCACCACTTTTTCAAGTATTATCTTCAAATGTCACATTCCTGAGCAATTAAAAAGAGTCACTGGCGTCCTCATTTTGGTGAAGGAGTCAAGAGATGGAGAGACATTAAGCAGTTCACCCTAGAACAGGGGCCAGGAACCAGAACTTCTGAATCAGAGGAATAGGACTCCACCTTCTGCTGTGTCGTAAGAAGCGAAAGATTTATACTCACCTAGGGGCACTCCTCACTCATTAACCCCCTCCACAAACAACCTGAGAGTGCCCAAAGGGACAACTGTTTGGAGCATAAAATAATAATAATAACAAATAAACCAGAGGCAAGGTATTATTTTTTCAGAAATCATGACATCATTGGAGAGAGGCATATTGTTCTTTTTACAGGATCATCACAAACAGACTACTTTAAATGGAGATACAAATATCCACGTTCATTCATGGGATACAGCAGCTTCTACTACCTGACTCCTGCTCCTTCCAAGAAGTGTTTATCCTTACGCAATGGGCTTCAACAATGTTTAATAAACGGTCTGGGCTAGACCACCCAGCTGCTGGTAAGAGGACAGAAACTAGCATTCCCAAGGCCCATGTTTTTCTATGCTGACAAGGTTGGGAAAGAATTAGTACTCTATGTTAAAATATCGGGACTTTTTTCATTTAAAATAAATTGCAGCCAGAGTCTTACAACAGAAATGTTAGTAAGTCTAGAGCAATTGGACGGGCAAATGGTTGGGTTTTCTCTCAAATACTTTGCTATAGCAGCTATCTACTAGAAAAACTACTTAATCAGAAGTAAAAATAAGGCCCAGGTCAGCCACCGTCCTTCTAGAACTTCCAGGGAAATCCAACTCTCTCAGTTCCCAGTTTATCAAAAAAGCAGCCAAAACATCAGCTTTTCAGCCCTGCCACCTAGTATATTTTCTTTCAAATGTGTTCATTTCCAGGAAATCCTACAAATATTTAAAATTTGAGGTCACTTTGGAATAACATTTTCTAGATGCTGATGGAAAACACATCGGAGTTGATTTGAACCATATCAACTTCTACACTGAGTCAGAACATCTTCACTTTGAGATACACTTGTAAAACCCAAAAGCGAGAGTCACTGGGAAGCTTGGATAGGGAGTAGAATAAAAGCCTAATATTTGGGGAAGTCCAGTAGTATTAAGCTAAGATTATCATCAGATTTTTCTATCTCGTGGTCATCCCATATTTGAAGGAATTATATTAGCATAATTTCTGGATTTCTACACTAACTCCAACTCAACTAAATAACTGAAAATAAGAAGTTATACCTCTGAAGCCCAGCACAATCACAGGCAGTCAATATCTGCTTATGTAAATAATCCCATCACTACCATTTTTATGATTATATAACTTACAAACATTCACATAATGCCTATGAGGATCTCTGGCCAGAGAAAAATCTGTACCCAGGTAAATTATGGCTGAATTTCCAACAGGGAAAACTGATAAAGTCCACTGTCTTGTCTCCTTGGATCTTCATCATTAATATAACCACTGCTAGACCCAGAAAAGAGAAAATCTCAAGGCGTTTGACATTGGATCGTTTTGATCAACATCCTGACTAGATCTCTGATATTCACAAAAGACTGAAGTTATCCAGCAAAAGGCAGGGCAATGGCATTCTGTTTCCCTCATCAGCCTACATCACTCAGAGCTTTAGTAGAGTTAGCTATGGCCATTGGGGGTGGAGGCATTATGGGAGAGAAAGGAAAGCAAGTTGGACATTCAGAGTCTTAGGAAATTATGCTGCTGTTGTGACAGAGATGTCAGACTGCTTTGCTGTGCAAAATCTTAGCAGGATTTATTGCTTGTGGCTTCCTGGCAATGATAACTTTCCAAGATTATCTCAGCAAAATACATTTCTGAATAAAGCTCTTGTAAATTACAAAATAATTTCTTCTTTCACACTTGTTCAAAACTTTCTCTTCACCTTAATAGGAGATGTTATGAGGGTGAGAATCAACATACCTTTAGTTTAGCAAATTTTCATCTTAATTCAGGGAGGTTGTAGTTGGAGGTTGTATAGCAGATGCATGTGACAGCAATAACTACTTAAGCATACCCTGAGAATGAGACTATGGTCTGAGAAGAATGTGCATTTGGAGTTCAAGCTAAGGAATCCAGGAATGGCCAATCCAGAGTTTCATTCCTTATCTATGAGGAACATCTAAATCCCTAGCCCATCCCATGGAATGCAGGCCGTACAGGGGATTGAGCCCTTTGTTTTGGATTACATGAAGGTTTCCAGCTGGAGGCTGTTAGGGGGAGGGTGCTAAGTGAAAATGCTATATAAACTGCATGCTTTTTAGAAATGGTAGTTCTCTCTTGTCCAGCCCACCACCACTGGACTATGTTATATGTAAAGTCCTCACAATAAACCCTGTCTTCTTTGCTAGCTCTGGGTTTCTTCTTCAGCCTCTCAAACATGGTTCCATCCCTACTGAAGCCAAGAGGGGTCCAGAACAACAAAGGTCTTCACCTCTTTGTAAACATGCTTTGCCATTTTGTGACTTTAGTATCAACTCATTAGCAGAGAATGGACCTTTCTGCACATCTTGACTTTCAGAGTATCTATGGTCCCCATCCTACCATGCTCTACAAATAAATAGCACCTCCAAAGCCAGAGGGTTATGGGAAAGCAAAACAATCTAATACAAAGGAAACACAGGTTCTTATTGCTTGAGTCTTGGTTTAAATGAGGAATGTGAGGATAAGAGAAGCCTATAGCATGTTCTCACCTTGAAGAACAAGTCATTAAAAATACAGACAGAGTAGCACTCCCGCCAGACTCTCTGTACCTAGCAGGATCCAGAATTGATTTTCCTTTCTAACTCAAGCTCCTCATTAAGCCAATAGGCTCATTTTACAATATTTGTTTCATACATGCGACTGAATGAGCCACTTCTATTTTCTCAACGGAAGAGTTTTCTATGAAACTGTAACAAGAGGAGCCACTTTTAACAATCAATGGTCCCTTTACTTTCTGGAGGCGCAGTATATTCTTAATTAGACTCAGATAAAGAAAGGAACTATATCAAAGACCTATCTCAAAATGCAAAACGATAGCTTCCAGCTCATTCTATCCAGTTGCCAAAATTGAGTAAACCTAGGATGCTATTTCTTTGGATTGTGTTAAATAAATGATTCTCAACCTTGGCCACACACCAGAATCATCTCAGGATACTTGAAAATTTCCATTGCTCACACCACCTCAGATCATTTAAGTAGAATTCCTGGGGGTCATCCACTGGTAACCCCCAGGAGTCCTATTTAAATGCACAACCAGGATGAAAAAGTAACGTATTAAACCAGTGGTTCTCAAACTTTAATATACATGAGAACTACCTGGAGGACATGTTAAAATACAGACTGCTGGGTCCCAGCCCCACAGTTTCCAGTTCTGTAGGTCTTGTGGGGAGCCCCAAGATTTGTATTTCCAACGAGTTCCCAAGTGATGCTGAGCTGAGGCTTTTAACACGGGGAACATACTTTGAGAACCAATGTCTTACATGAATATGTTGATCTGAGCATTTTAGACAGGGAAATAAAACATTTTACATATTTACATTTTAGAGCAATTGGTATAATACAACTAGCCATTTTAACAGCATTATATAATCTTTAATTTGACAAACTAATGGAAATACCAGTGACAGTGCCAAAGACCAAGACTTAATGGCTTCACTTCCCTCGTAGTTATACAAGAAACCCAACTCATAAAATATAACCGAGATGTTTAAACAAACCACTTATGTGGTACTTAGGTGAAATTGTAACTCTTTTAAAATGCTATAGATTATCATCAATTTCATGATGTATCTGCTTTATTTCATTCAGTTCACTTGAAAATTTGAACAGCTGGAACATCAGAGAAAGAGAACTGCATAATCACACCTTGATTAGCAAGACGGCAATAATTCAAAATACTTATCTAGTTCATAATATTTATCTCATTTCTTAGGAAAGAGCTTTCTTCCAAATCTTCAAAAACACTCAACATTTCTGCCCTCCATACCAGCTAATACACATCACACTCACTCCCTCATATGATAATCACACATTTTGGTATCATTGTATCAAATCCATTTCTTCCTTTTGGGGTTTTAATTTTTGCTACCTGGGTATGTATATACCAACGCTCTTATAAAATACTTTTTTCAAACTTGTATATGGATGTTTATTTCAGGTTCCTGCATAGTGGAAAAAAACTGAAAATAACATAAATGTTCATCAACAATAGAGTGATAAACGGTGGCACATTCATATAATGAAGTATTATAAAACAATTAATTAATGTGTCACATAACAACATGACAAATCTTGTAGACGTACTGTTGAGTCAAATAAGCCATATATAAAAGAGTTCATGCTTTATGTTTTCATTTATACAAAGTCCAAGAACAAATATAGATAATTTAAAGCCTTAAAATTTAGATGAGTGGTTGTGTTTGAGGGGAGTATTGACAGAAAGGAAGCATGACAGAGCCTTCTGTGATGCTGGAAAAGTCTACATCTTAATCTGGGTGGTAAGTGGATGCCTATGTATGTAAATATCAACTAAGCTTATGAGTTACAGTTATGATACACTTTCTGTTATAATGTAATTAACCATTTTAATTTCAAAATTGCATTAATATGACAAATTGCTCTTTGTGAAATATTCCTCAAACCCAAATGTGAAAGCTGCCCACATGTTGGAATGTGATAATTGTTCATGACAAGACTAATATAAAAAGTATCCCAAAAGTCTTGCTCATAAAATCAAATGTGAAAGGTTTCCATCTGAAGATGATTTATTTTCTCTTAAAGCCCCCCTAAAATAAGAGTAAGGTATAAAATGCTATCAGTCAAGGGCAAAGAGAACAGAAGAAGAGAGTCTTCATCAACAGATAAAAGATTTCAACAAGTTTTGAAGGGAGAAAATAGATGAAGGATGATAACTGAGTTGGCAGATGCAGAGGAGATAGGGAAAATGGGAGGGATAATTTTACCAGAAGATCCCTAGAAAGGGGTGGCACTCAGAGATACCAGTATGGTGGTTAAAGTAGACAGAAGAGTCAAGATGTAGGGTTCAACAATAAGTTGGTTACTAATGAAAGTCTGTATATAAGATGATGGAAACCAGATTTCTAGCTCCCATGCAAGTGGTAAAAAATTTATTCTCTAACGAAACTCAGTGGCTTCAATAAAAAATATTGTTTGCATACTAGCATGAGTGCCCTAGCTAAATGATCTGCTCACTGTCCAAATAATCACTCGAATGCAATCCCACCAGCCTAAAAGCCCACCAAAGCATGCAAAGTTGCCAGTAAGTTTTAGGGTCTCACTCTTAATGTGAAACAGGCAAACAAGGACCACCAGACACTGGAATATGCTCCCAACTTAAAAAAGAGAGACCAAAATAAGCAGGAAAAAAAAATAGACATTTTAGGGAGTCCAGAAAACATAAAGCAAAACTTTATAAAAAATGTTAGTTGGTTGGCACAGTGAAGAATAAGAAATTGTTATATTCATAAAACAAGAAGAGTATTTTTTTAAATAATGGAAGATAAATAATTTTTAGAAATTTAGAATATAATTACCAAAATCACTCATCCAAAAGTAGCTCAAGAAGGTAAATATCAACTAAGCTTATGAGTTACAGTGGTGAGTACACTTTCTGTTATACTGTAATTAACCATTTTAATTTCAAAATTGCATTAATATGACAAATTGCTCTTTGTGAAATAGTCCTCAAGCCCAAATGTGAAAGCTGCCCACATGCATCTTATTAACTTATTAAAATATAGAAAAAAGAGAGCAGAAACAAAAAATATGAGATAAATAGTAAGAGATTTAGGAAATTAATATAAGAAGTGGACATTTCAGATGGAGAGAAAAAGGAAAAGTGAGAAAGGGAAAGTATTTTAAAAATCATGTGAGAAATATTACCAGAGGTAAAGGACATACATTTCTAAGTGGCAAAATCCAATAAAGGATAATAAAATAAAAAGATCACACCAATGCATATCAACATGAAGTTTAAAAAAAAAACAGCATTAGATGAGTTTATTAAAGGATAAAGTGAGGATGTCTATGAACCTGTTCCCCTACAAAAACAATGAAAATTCTGACAAATCAAGTAAAACCAATAATTTCAGAACTCTTGAAATTAAACAAAACCACCAACAAACAAAATTTCTTATCTAAAAGGAATGACTAAATCTCAGTAAGACCTCAGACTGTGTGGCATTTAACTTGCCACCACACTCTCTCTCAACCGCGCAGTGGCACAGTAGCCACGAAAAGCCAGAAGCCTCACAGAAAAAGAGGACTGGCATCTTTTGGAGCTCTTTTAAAAGACCCATCCTCAAAGCACTGTCAATATTTTGTCCAAAGTAGTAATTTCCCAGAAAAATCTCTATTTCCAGGTTGGTGTGGCTATTTTACTTCACTCAGACCACAACTCAGCAAAGAAAAGCCCTATCTTTGGAGATTAGTGGAAAGAATCACAATCTGCTAGCAACATTGTAGATGCCTAAAGCTGTGATTCCATTTAGGAAAAGCTAGATCCTGGCTACAAATCGAAAAGGAAGTCTGAAGAACTTGAGGACCAGAGGGAATTTTGAAAAGCTCCAACATATTCCTGGGGATTTGGAAGAGCTTTTGCATACCCAGTACTGTGTATAGTTAAAAACCTGGGGAAGTATAAGACCTCAGTCATTCACCTCTGGCTGACCTTGAGGACTCCCACAAGCAGGAAGTGAAACCTACAGTTGTCTTATAAACATCCCTTTAGCAAACGGTAAAAGACCTAAAGGTAAAGCATTTATGAAAATCTTTTGACCAATTACTTGCTTCTTACTAAATTATATTGACCAAGTGGTAACTCCTAGGAAGCCAAGCCTAAAAAATAAAAATAGAAACCAAAACTTAAAAAAAAAATAAGCTAGCAATTAAGCTACATTAATTTAAATTTAAGCTAAATTACATTAAATTAAGCAGACCAAAACTGGATTTAGCAGACAAAAACTTTAAATCAGCTATGTTAAATACTTTTAAAATAACTTAAAAAGCCATTTCTAAAGAATTAAGGGAAACTATGGCAATGATGTCTTACCAAATAGAGACTAATAAGAAAGAAACAAATCATATTTTAAAATAACCAAATAAGAATTCTATTAGAGTTGAAAAAGACAACAACTAACATCAAAAATTTACTCAAGTGTTTAAGAAATGAGGTGTCAGATAAAAAGAATCAACTAACTTGAATATATAGCAGAAAAAATTAGTCTGAGGAATTTTAAAAAAGAATAAAGAATAAATGACTAGAGCTGAACATATTTGTAGGACACCGTGAAACATACCAACATACATACAATGAGAGTCCCAGAAAATGAAAAAAATGAGAAACAAGAAGAAAGAAAATGAAACAATAATGGTCAAATCCCCACATTTGATGAAAACATTAATCTATACATCCAAAACCTCAATAAACTCGTAAAGATAAAGATCCACATCTACACACACTATAGACACATTGACAAAAGGCAACAACAACAACAACAACAACAACAAATGAAAGAGAAATTATTGAAAGCAGCAAGAAAAAGATGACCTCACAGACAAACAATCCTCAATAAAATTAACAGCTGACTTTGAAACACAAGCACTAAAGCTGGAAAAGACTGGAATGACACCCTCAAAGTGTTGAAAGAAAAAAGATTGTCAACAAAGAATCCCATATTTAGCAAAACTTTCATTCAACAATGAAAAAAATTCAGGATATTCCAAAATGAATAAAATTTGAGAGAATTTGTTAGCAGACCTGCCCTAAGTGAAATACTACAGAGAGTCCTTCAGACTGAAATAAAAGTATATTAGATGGTAACTCAAATACACATGAGGAAGTAAAGAGCACTGGTAAAGTTAACTACATAGGTTAATATGGAAAATAGTATTTTTGTTTGAACTATTTTCTTATCCTATCTGATTTAATAGACAATTTCATAATGTAATAATTATAAATTTGTATTAGTGAATTTATAATAAAGGAAATGTAATTTATATGACAATAATAGTTCAAAGAAGAGCAGGAGGAATGGGGATATCATGGAGCAAAATTTTTGTACAATATTAAGATCCATTTTGTATTAATAAGAACTAGATCATCTTAAATTAGGATGCTAATTTTAATCCCAAGACAATCACTAAGAACATATCAAAAAAAGTATGGCAAGAGAAGCGGCAAGGAATTTGAATGGTACAGTAGAACATGTCTGTTTAACACAAAAGAAGACAACAGTGCAGAAACACAGGAAGAAAAAGACATAATGCATACGGGAAACAAACAGCAAATGACAGGTATAAATCCTATCTTATCCATCATTATAATAAAAAGTAAACAAATTAAATACTCCAATAAAAATAGACAGATTAGCAGAAAAGATTCTTTAAGAACATGAGGATATGATCCAACCACACACACTTTAAAACGTTTTTTTTTATTCACTGACTTTGATGTGAATTTTTAAGTGGATGTAAAATCTTAGAATCATACATTAGAGCCCATCTCACTTTCTGTGTCCGAAGTTAGTCCATAGAAAATTATTCCATGGTATACCAATAGGTGATCTTATAAAAAGGTTTCTTCTCTTACTGGAGTCTTGCTGAGATATTTCAGTATATTGTCCAAAAATGAAATATGAAATGCAAGAATTCCCAAAGCTATTTCCCTATCGAATAAAACTTTTTCTCATAAATCTCCCATAAACCATGTTCCATGGATCTCAAGGCAAGTCTTCTCAATTTGGAGTTGAAAAAACTGTGTCCAAAAACATTGAATAACTCACACCAACTGTCTTTTGATTTCTACTTATGTTATTGTCTCCAGAATGTACATGAATCACTTTTTTTCTACCCTGCTGCAAGACATCACAGAATTAGATCAGAATGCAGGAGTGGAAAAAGCAAGAGATTCAGCATCAGAAACCAAAATTCCAACTTTCTCTAAGAAGATGAGCAGCAAGAGTTTGCTTATGTCCCTCATCTTTACTTGGCTTCACTTGGCACAACTGCAAAATAAGGATGGTGAGATTTACTGCACAGGGTTGTCATGAGTGTAAAGAGATAAATTGCATTATTCGCTTTCTCCTCAATATCATGCTCCTTATGGTTTACATGATGCAGAATATTTTTTTCTACAGCTCTCTATTTCGGATTTACAATACCTGCAGAAATTTTTTTTTAACATGGGGACAAATTTTTTGATATCAGGACTGCTCCCATGAAGAGACACAGTTTACATCCTTGTCCTTGCATCTGGGCAGGCTCGTGAATGCTTCGACTGATAAATTGAGGGATGAGGTGTTTTACTGTAAGGCTAGAATATGAAAGGCCTCATATCCACTAGAACACTCATGCTTAGAGTCCTAAACTATCTCATTAGAGGGTCAATTACCCTATTGCTACCATGTCTGAGGAAACCAAGCTATGTGGAAAAGCCACCGACAGGCACTCCGATCAGTGATCCAAGAGTCATACCAGACCATGTGCCAGACATTGGAACAAAGATGCCTCCAGAATATTCCAGTCCCCAGTTGTCATGTCATCCCCATATATTCTTGAGCAGAAATAAACTTCCCTTGCTGAATCCAGTCTGGTTTTCTGACCAACAAAATCATGAGCAATAAGCAGTTGTTGCTATAAGTCAGTAAGTTTGGAGACAGTTTGTTATATAACACTAGTAACCAAAAGGGTGCTCATGAAAACAGACTTCTCTACTGGCATTAAATACATCTATTATAATGTCCTTCTCATTTGTCATTATCGAGCAGTTATTAAATAAACCCTTGAGCCACAACATGGGTACAATGACAGAACAGCAACTAAGAATCATGCTACTTAGAGGAGATAATTTCTGACCTATAATTTCCATTCTACTCTTCACTTATTCACGTCAAAATTACAATAGAATGAGATCAATTTAGCTAGAGCGGTTAAACATTTAAGTTTGAAGAATGTGAGAATGGCATAATTCACTAATAAAAAAAACTTCCTCATTTGAATTAGTTACTTTAGTCTCTTTTCACTTCATGGATAAATTCCTACTCCTTCAAAGTATTTTTTCAAACTAATACCTGCAAAACAGGAAATGAATATGCAATAAAAGTAGACAGTCATGGGCTACATGTTAGCCTTCAAATTTAATTTAAAACTGTATAATTGGATTTATGTTTTTATTGTAAATCATAAGTATGTTCATGCCCACGATTATTAGTCTGATGATGGAAAATTGAAAAACAGTGTTGTTTTTCAGAGGCCCTCTTTTTATTCTGCCATAATCCAAAATCACAAGCTATTCTACAGAAGACACACTTCATAAGTTGGTGTCAATAATGGGGAGGGTTGGCCATAAGCTCCAGGAGGACAGGGACTTTGTTTTGTTCACCAAAATGTTCGCAATGCTTTGCGTATTTGCTGAATTCAATGAGCACATAAATACTCAATTAATATAAAGTGATAGGCTTGAATCAATATCATTTTGTAAAAATAAAAAGAGCAAACTTATCCATGAATCTGGCACTTTTGATTATTGCTTGGTGCTTGGGGACAGGAGGTGACAAAAGTAATTCTTATGGACTAGAAACTTGAGTTGTAAGAAAAAAAATAAACTGGTGAAGTAGTGTGTTGGGCCCTGTGATATCTAAAACCCCCTTTAGGACTGAAAGGCTTATCCCTTCATTTGCTGGGTAATGCTGCTAGAAGACGACTTCTACTGCCAGTCCTCCTCGGGGAGACTGCTTTAGCTGAAAAACCAGGCTTGTCCTAGATCATGACTCTTTCCAGTGCAGCCTACATCCAATGACTGATCACAAAGAGATATAGCTGGGCCAACTCCAAGGGGCCATTCTAGCCCCAACCCCCTACTGCTTCACTGGAACTGCAATCTCCCTTGTCTTAGTCTATTTTCTGTTGCTTACAACAGAATACCTGAAACTAGGTAATTTATAAAGGAAATAAATTTATTTCTTACAGTTATGGAGGCTGAGAAGTCCAAGGTCAAGGAGTCACATATGGTGAGGATCTTCTTGCTGGCGAGAATGCTTGCAGAGTCTTCAGGTGGCAAAGGGCATCACATTGTGAGGGAGCTAAATGTACTAGCTGAGCTCTCTTTTCTTCTTCTTATAAAGCCACCAGGCCAACTCCCATGATAACTCATTACCTATTAATCCCATTAGTTGATGAATGAATTAATTTATTCATGAAAAAGACAGAGCCTTTATGATCCAATCACCTCTCAAAAGTCCCATCTTTTAATACTGCCACATTAGGGATTAAGTTTCAACATGAGTTTCAGAGAGGACAAACATTCAAACTGTATCATCCCTCTATCCAGTTCTGCTCTTTCTCCCTCATTTCCACAAATGTTCATCATAAGAGCATTTCTAATTAATTAGATTCTCTATGCTAATCTCTATCTCAGAGAATCATGAGCTAAGCCTACTATCAATGTCTTTTACTTTATCAAGCTGCCATATGCAGGATCGCACACACACACACACACACACACACACACAAAAGTGCTTCTTCTTATTTGTATTTTAACAGACAGTAGAGCTCTCTTATAATAATAACTACTTCCTTCCTGGTTTTTCATTGTTTGGTATGGCTTAATAAAATGAATACGTCTTTGCTTTTTCCCATCCTAAGTATAGATTTAACCTGTTCTCATGAAAAAGTATAAAGAATTAGTTTACTGTAGACTTATTATGTCTTTCTATTTTTATCATTTGTTTTTAGAAATTGGTGAGCCCATTCATGATTACACATATGAACAAATCAGTTCCCAGTAACTCTGGCAGATTTCTAAGCAATCTTGCTTAGAAAACACCTGGTAAAATATACTTTCATTCAACTTCAGGTGATTCAAAAGCAGCTGAAAGTCACTTAAGTGGAAATACAAATATGATGCTGCTTTTCAAATCAAAAGCAAGATCTCAACTCCACAGGATGTGGCAGATTGCCAGGTGTTTCATTTCTGACCAACAACTATACTGTCGGGAGCTTCTCTACGTAATTGACAAACCAAAACCCAAAGCACCAAGGTTAACAATTCACTTCTCTTTGGCCACAGAACTGGTATTGTGTTATTCCTGTACTGCACATAAATCACTTTCATAGGGCCATTAGAGGGTTGTTTTGAGGCCTAGAAGACTAAAATCAAACCTCTGGGTAGCTGAGCAATGTCAGAACAAGGTACAGAGTGGGTTTAGGGTCACTTTGGAGCCACTGTCAGTTTTCTTCTTTTTTTGCTTCTGAAGCTGCAAAATCATTTTGGCCCAAGGGCAGTCCACTTGAATTCTATGCAGACAAGAGACAGACTCGTGGTTTCTCCACAAGATTTTGATGTACTAGATCAGGACATCAAACATCAGCCCATCTCCAGATATAAAAAGCAACTTCGTAGGTTTTCAGATTATGTTTTGCCAACCATCTGGACTATGAGACAGATACTTGAGACAGAGGATGTTACAGGAGCTGACCACCATTGTCACAAATCATTGGTGTGCAGAGGTTGAGGTGCCTCACTCTTCCCTGTATGTGTGCCACAGGACTCTCCAGAGAGCTGGTAAAGAATAGGAAATTAATGTAAATGTGTGTTACACTGAGTGTGTGAAATTGCTAAAGAAAAGATTAAATTATTACTTGATCGTGTTATTTAACTTCCTTTCTTTCGAACGAATAGAAGGAAATGAAAATTGACATTTCTCAATGCCTATAATGTCAGTTGCCCTACATAATTTATATATGTACATTTTAGTTATAAATAATATAATGGGACATAATTAAAAGTCCCATTTAATTCTCACAATAAATGTATGAAAAGAAAAAATAAGTCCTTAGAACATCCATAACCTACCTCAGTTTATACAAATAATCAAGTGAAATCATTTCAGAATTTGAATACAAGTTGTAGTGGCTTCACAAAATATGATATTCCCACCCTTATGCCCAATGCCATGTGGGCTATGATCTAAGCCCTAACTAAACAGTAAAATATATTCTCTTCTGCTGATTTTCTTCTTTTTTTTAAACTCATAAAAGAAGTGAAAATTTTTCCATACAGTTTACATTTTTACTAATCTTTTCCTCTATGATAAACTTTTGGTAGGGCCTTCTATTTATGAAGTGAGCCATGCTCTTTTCATGACCCTATTTGTTCAAGGCATAGTGGGTAATACTGAGATGAAGCAGGCACTGACCCTACCTTCAGTTTGTTGGTTAGTACAGGGCATTGCATACAAAGAGTTATCATACACGGGGAAAGATTCATGTACACTTTATTATTTCAGCCAGACTTTGAAGGATTAAATTGGGAGAGGAGAAAACACCATAAGCAAAGGGAACAGCATAGACAATCATGGTGTGTATATAGGAGCGGGAAATAATTCAAGATTGCCAGGACAGAGGTTGCATGGAGTGAACTGTAAACAGAAAGAAATAAATTGTGACCATATCAAACTGTATCAGAGGTTAAGCAAGGAAGTCCAGAGGAGAGAAGAGTTGAAGACTGTGAGGATTCTTACAATTCTTCATTTCTCTCTGTATCCACATCCTTTGCCATGTAACATTTCTGGGCCACCGACCTGGGGATGGGGTGATTTGTCCCTTCACTTCGGCTCAATCATATGACTTGCTTAGGCCAATGGAGTGTTAGCAGGTGTGACACAAGCAGAATCTAGAAATGGGCTTGTTCACTGGGGCTTGCTTTACTATGCCTCCGCCATTGCCATGAGAAAATGCTTGAGATAGCATGTTGGAGAATGAATACATAGGAAGTAGAGCCAAGCTGCTCCAGCTGCACAGTTGCCTGAGCCAAGAGTCTAGATCAGCCAACAACCAGGCAAGCCCAGACATGTAAGTTAAGCATAGTTCAGCAGAGTCACCCGGCCAACTCCCAGATGACTCCAGACATGTGAGCAATAAACCCAAATTGTCATATGACACTGAGGTGTTTTTGTTATTTGTTACACAGCAATAATAATACAACTAACACAGGTAATAAATACAACTAACACAGGATGTGATAAGATTGAAGACAGATAGGTAATGGAGAGAATGATAAGAAATAGAGAGATAGCCAATACACAGAGTATTGAGAATATGCAAGAAAATTCACCATCACCAATAGAGATGGTATAAGATTTTTAAGGAAAATATCTCAACAACTTGCCCCCCAAATATATGTAGGGTATTTAAACACCTGAGACTGAAATAAGTTGTCAGCAGTTCCTCCATATCATAACAACACTCCAAATTAAAGAGTGATACTTAGTAAATTTTACTCAGCCTGCAGACTGATGGCCTTCTTTCTCTGTACCCATTCTTTGTTTTGTCCATCATGATATTTCCCTTCATGTCCATTTATTCATAAATAAATGCGCATCTTTGAAATATTCTTTGAAACAGAAAGTTATATTGAGGGCAAGAAATAAGGCTAGTTATTGAGGCAATCTCTTATCTGCAATTCACAAGTATCAACAGTTTGAAACCTCAAGGTTTCGGTAACTTATTCATGGCAAAAGCTGACCTTCACTGACAAGGTTTATGTTTGTTTGTTTTTTGTAATATTTATCCCACTTAGTTTCACTGCAGAAATATTAATGTGTTTGAATATGGAGTATTGTATTGCCTTGACTCAGACCTCACTAATACATGGGATATTTCTCAAGGACAAAAAAAATTCTAAAATACATCTGGGCCCACGGGTTTCAGATACAGAATTGTAGATTGTATTTTAATAATGCAAATGGAAAATGGAAAGTAGTTGGAGAGTAAACTGAAAATGCATCCGTAGGAATAGAGGAGAGTAGGAAAGAAAGTCTTAGTCAATAAATGTGCAGTGAGTTGTGAGAAAAGGGAGGTTTAAAAGGGGAAAAGAAAAAGGAAAACATAATTAGAGCCATTTTACTTCAAATATTGCAAATAAGCCACCAGAAAATGTAAAAGCACAGTTGCATGTCCTTTATGTGAAGAACAAAGGGATCGTTTCATGCTGATGTCATCATCAGATAGCAGAATTTCTTGTTTTTCTCCTTTTGATCTCACAAAATACTTTTGCATCAGAAAATTTAAAGTGGAGATTCTCAAACTTAGGTCCATTATGTTTTCCTGTGATTATTATGTAGATTATCCATGAACAATATTGAGAAACACACTGACATAAAACCTAATCAAGGACTTTTGAATATGAATTGCATATAATAAACTTTCACTTGGCTTGGGGTTATTTGTTCAAATACTATGAATTTGTCATCTATTTTTTTTTTTCTGCCAAGGAAGCATCCTCTTTTCTGTGAATAACATCTCCTAGGGAATATTTTCTTCACTTGTTTTTAGTCATGGAATTCTACAATAGACTTTCAGTTATATTACACTACCCCCAGGCAGAGCCAGTTGGCCTAAAGTTGAATGTAAGACACTAACAGGGTCCAAACAAAAGAACTAAATTTGGAATTTTCTATTTCAAAACAAAGGAATGAGGAAAAGTCTCTCCCTGTTTGCAAAGCATTAACATATTCCTTGAGAGGGTATCCATGGCCATATCTGTCATTTAGATCAGGAGTGTTCAATCTTTTGGCTTCCCTGGGGCACATTGGAAGAAGAAGAATTGTCTTGATCCACACATAAAATATAATAACACTAACTATAGATGATGGCCAAAAATAAATAAATAAATAAGAAAAAAATTAAAATTAAAAAAACTCACAAAAAAATCTCATAATATGTTAAGAAAGTTTACAAATTTGTGTTGGGCCACATTCAAAGCTGTCCTGGGTCCCATGGGCCATGGGTTGAACAAGCTTGATGAAGACAGTTCACAGCAAGAGAAATGAAAGTTATGATACGGTGAAAGAAGCAGACACAAGAGTGTGAGGAAGAGTATTCTGGTACATTTGAGTTCTTGATTCTATTTGTTTAGGAAAACCAGATGTCTCTTTGCCCTTCCAAAAATTATATGAGACCCAATATCCTTCAAATATTTTTTCCCGTGGCCTAAATGGCATGGTTAGGTTTCTATCACTTACAACCTAGTTTGTTCTACTTCTTAATTCTTGTATTTGTACTTTATTTTTCTTATTTTAGAAAATTAATTCAGAATCAACTACATATACTATTATATAGTTCTAATCTTTGTATTTCTGAACATACTTTGTTGTGTATGGCTTTCCTCAACAAATTTTGTAAAAGCAGAACTCTGCTTCTCTCCAATTATATAAATAGCTAAGAGTATTCACTGGTGCAAAACAAGTTTAAAAATAATTCTGTTAAAAATAGTTGTAATTACACACTTTATCATGGATTGAGAATTTTTTAAAATACACAGGGTACAAGATACACTACTGGACTTCTGGTGCAGTAATAAATAACCCCAAAGTCTCAGCAGCTCACAACAAACTTATATTTCTTGCTTGTGATTCAGTAGGTCAGCTGAAGCAGCTCTGCTCCAAGTGCACAGCAGGTTTCGAACTGTTCCATTTAGCTTCTCATTTTTTTACCCAGGCTGAAGCCCCACCCCATCTGGAATGCCTTGCTCTTGTGACATTTACATGCCAAAGCTCAATGGGCAGTAGAAACAAAAATGCTTCTCATAATCTCCCTGAGAGCTGGCCTACTTGCATGTATTCCACTGGAGAGCTCAAGTTACACGACCAGGCCCAAAGTCAATAAGACAAGCTAATCTTCTCCATCCATGCTAGACACATAAAGACAGAAGAAAATGAAGAATTGTGCCCAAATAACATAAGCTTCCACATAATACTGAAAAAGAGCAAACAAAAATCCATTTAAAAATATGTTGACAAATTAGGAAAATTGAATATGTATCCTCTAGTCTAATACATACACACACACACACACACACACACATATGTATAATGAAAGACTTACTGGATCTAAATAATATATGTTATCCACGTATTATGCCCCTCACAGATACACACAGACATACACACATATATTTAATAAAAAAGATCTGAATGAAATTCTGCTTCCAATTTGGCTTTCAGTTTTTCATTTTTCTCAATTCATCAAATGACGTTTTCTTAGCAACTGTGCAATTTTGAAGACTGTACAGAAAGCATGACCATGTGTTGTCTTCAGTTTTTAAATAAGATCAATTATGTATAGACGTATCTAGCATGAGCTTTAGAATGTATCAATTTTTAAAATCCAAATATGATTGGTTCATTATTCCATCCATTTGCCCATTAGTCAAATTTTGTTAAAAATCATTCACAAAATAACTTTTCTTTTATTGTGGAACTTTGTGGAACTTTGAACTTGAGAGAGATGACTTAGAGTATCCGGCAGAAGAAATCTTTAAGCAGCAAAGCATTCAAGAGGTAACATGGGTGCTGATAAAGGGATTCAGTTTTATAAGGGAAGCAGAGCACAAAAGTTCAGAAAATTTGCAGCCTGATAATGCAGTAGAAAAGCAAATGCCATTTTCTGAGGAGAAATCGAAGCCAGCTGCATAAATTTGCATAAATAATGAAGAACAGAACACTAATCACCAAGACAATGGGGAAAATGCCTCCAGAGCATGTGAGGGTAGCCCTCCCATCACATGCCCGGAGGCCTAGGAGGAAAAAATGTTTTCATGGGCCAGGCCCAAGGTCCCTCTGCTGTGTGCAGTCTATGGACTTGATGCCCTGTGTCCCAGCTGCTCCAGCCATGACTAAAAGGGGCCAAGGTATAGCTCAGGCCATGGTTTCAGGGGTGCAAGCCACAAGCCTTGGCAGCTTCCACATGGTGATAAGCCTGTGGGTTCACAGAAATCAATAATTGAGGTTTGGGAACCTCCACCTAGATTTCAGAGGATGTATGTAAACACCTGGATGTCCAGGCAGCAGTTAGCTGTAGGGGCAAGGCACTCATCATGAAGAATCTCTGCTAGGGCAGTGTGGAAGGAAAATGTGGAATGGTGCCTCCACAGAGAGTCCCCATTGATGCACTGCTGAGTGGAGCTGTGAGACAAGGGCCACCGTCCTCCAGACCCTGGAATGGTAGATCCACCAACAGCTTGCACTATACAACTGGAAAAGCTGCAGACACTGAATGCCAGTCCGTGAAAGCAGCTGGGAGGGAGGCTGTATCCTTCAAAGCCACAGGGGTGGAGCTACCCAAGACCATGGGAACCCCCTCTTGCATCAGCATGACCTGGATATGAGACATGGAATCAAAGATGATCATTTTGGAGGTTTAAGATTTGACTGCCCCAGTGGATTTTGGACTTGTATGGGGCCTGTAGCCCCTTTGTTTTGGTCAGTTTCTCCCATTTTGAATAGGTGTATTTATTCAATGCCTGTACCCCCATTGTATCTAGGAAGTAACTAACTTGCTCTTAATTATACTAGCTCATAGGCAGAAAGGACTTGTCTTGTCTCAGATGAGACTTTGGACTGTGGACTTTTGAGTTAATGCTTAAAAGACTTAAGACTTTGGGGGACTGTTGGAAAGGCATTATTGGTTTTGAAATGTGAGGTCATGAGATTTGGGAGGGACCAGGGGTGAAATGATATGGTTTGGCTGTGTCCCACCCAAATCTCGTCTTGAATTGTAGCTCCCACAATTCCTATGTATTGTGGGAGAGACCCGGTGGGAGGTAATTGAATCACAATCACAGGGGCAGGTCTTTCCCATGCTGTTCTCATGATAGTGAATAAGTCTCATGAGATCTGATGGTTTTATAAAGGGGAATTTCCCTGTACAACCTTTCTCTTCTCTTGTGTCCTGCCATGTGAGACGTGCCTTTCACCTTCCACCATAATTGTGAGGCCTCCCTAGCCAGCCATGTGGAACTGTGAGTCCATTAAACCTCTTTCTTTTATACATTACCTAGTCTGGGATATGTCTTTATCAGCAGCATGAAAATGGACTAATACATTTACCTAGGCATAATTTTCTAATTGCCAAAATTAGTGACATTAAAAATGGAAAGGTTTCCTTTGTTAATGGTTGAAAGAGTTAATACCATTAGGATGGCAATATTACCCATAGCAATCTATAGATTCAACTCAATGCGATTTCTCTCAAATTTCTAATAAGCTTTTTGTTTTTTGCATAAATGTAAAAGTCAATCTTCAGATTTATATAGAATTTCTAGGGGCACAAAATAGCTAGAACAACATTGAAAA
The DNA here is from genome assembly GCF_000001405.40 of Homo sapiens. NCBI lineage: Eukaryota > Metazoa > Chordata > Mammalia > Primates > Hominidae > Homo > Homo sapiens. Next base: position 7,777,869 of record NC_000020.11, read on the forward strand.
AGTTTGTAAGAACTTTTTTCTTGCAAAGTTGGAAGATTTATGCTTCTCAATTTTAAAATATTACATTTCCCAAGTGTAAAATTTAATTCTCAAATTTACATGGAATTTCTAAGGCCCCCAAAAAACTAAAACAATGTTTAAAAGTTTGTAAGAACTTTGTTCCTACAAAGTTGGAAGATATATGCTTCCCAATTGTAAAACATTCTATAAAACTCCAGTAGCCTAAACATTGAATTGTTCTACTGGCATAAAGATCGATATTTAGACAAGTGGAATAGAATTGACAGTTCAGAAATAAATCTGTGCATTTATAGCTAATTGAATTCTGACAAGGGTGACAAGACCGTTCAATGGGGAGAAAAAGTCTCTTCCACAAATGATGATGAGACAACTGGGTATCCACAAAAACTAAAACAAAAAATTGGACCCCTACTTCGCGTTATATATAAAATTTAACTCAGAATGTATCAGGGACCTAAATGTAATTCTTAGAAGAAATCCTACAGGTAAGTGTTCATGACCTTGAATTTGGGGATGAGTTCCTACATGTGACACCAAATCTACAAGAAACAAAAGATAAACCAGACTTCAAAGTTAAACTTTTGTATGGCCAAGAACATTATCTAGACATGAAAAGGCAACCTATGAAATGAAAGAAAATATTTTTAAATCACAAATCTTATAAGGGTCTACTATCCAGGATATATAAAGAACTAAACTGCAGCAAGACACACAATCTAATTAAAAAATGAGCAATGTACTTGAATAGATATTTCTCCAGTGGCCAACAAGCACATTAAAAGATCCACAACATCATTACTCATTAGGTAATGCAAACCACAACCAAAATGAATTACCGTTTCACACCCACTAGGATGGCCACAGTTTTTAAAAAAAACAGGAAAAATAACAAATGTTAGCAGTGATATGGAGAAATTAAAATCCTCCTACATTGCTGGAGGAAATGTAAAATGGAGCAGCCACTGTGGAAAATAGTTTGACTTTTCCTCAAAAGGTTACACATAGGATTTTCATATGACCTACCAACTTCACTTCTAAGTATATAATACAGTTTGGATGTGTGTCCCCACCCAAATCTCATAATGAAATGTAATCCCCAGTGTTGGAGGTGAGGCCTGGTGGGAGGTAATTGGATCACGGAAGCAGAATTTTCATGACTGGTTTAGCACTAACCTCCTTGGTACTGTCTTCGTGATAGTGAGTGAGTTCTCCTGAGATCTCGTCATTTAAATGTGTGTAGTCCCTCCTGCCGCCACTCTCTTGCTCCTGCTCTGGCCATGTGTCATGCTTGCTCCTCCTTCACCTTCTATCGTAATTGTGTTTCCTGAGCCTTCCCCAGAAGTCAAGTAGATGCCAGCATCATGCCTCCTGTATCATGCCTGCAGAACTATGAGCAACTTAAACCTCTTTTCTTTATAAATTACCTAGTTTCAGGTATTTCTTTATAGCAATGTGAGAATGGACTAATACAAAAAATTGGTACTAGGATTAGGGTATTGTTATAAAGATGCTTGAAAATATGGAGGCAACTTTGGAACTGGGTAAAGGGCAGAGGTTGGAAACCTCTTTTTATTGTAATTTACCCAGTCTCAGGTATTTCTTTATAGCAATGCAAGAATAGACCAATATAGTATACATCCAAAAGAAATGAAAACTAGTCCTCTAATAAATATATGTACATGCATGTTAATAGCAGCACTATTCACATTGCCCAAGCGGTGGAAACATTCCCAATGTCCATCAAGGGATGATAGATAAACAAATTGTGGTATGTACATACAATGGAATATTATTCAGCAGAAAAAGAATAAATTATTGACAAATGCTATAAATGTGGCAAAACCTTAAAAACATTACGCTAAGTGAAAGAAGCCAGTCACAGAATGATTGTATGATTCCAATTACATGAAAAATTCAGAATCAGTAAATCCATAAGAACTGAATGCAGATTGGTGGTTTCCAGGGGTAGAAGAGTGATGGGAATAGGAAGCAACTGCTTAGTGAATACAAGCTTTTCTTTTGGGATGATGAAATGTTTTGAAACTAGATAAAGGTGGTGATTATATAACATTGTGAATGCACCAAATACCCTTGCATTATTAACTTTAAAATGATTTTTTTTTAAGACAGAGTCTCACTCTGTCACCCAGGCTGGAGTGCATTGGTGCAATCTCAGCTCACTGCAACCTCCACCTCCCGGACTCAAGTGATTCTGGTGCCTCAGCCTCTGGAGTAGCTGAGATTACAGGTATGCGCCACTACACCAGGCTACTTCTTGTGTTTTTAGTAGAGACAGGGTTTCACCACGTTGGCCAGGCTGGTCTTGAACTCCTGGCCTCAAGTGATTCATCTGCCTTGGTCTCCCGAAGTTCTGGGATTACAGGCACTAGCCACTGTGCCCAAAAATGAATTTTATGTTAGGTGTATTTCACCTTAACTGTAAAAAAAGTGGCATTGTTTTACAAACATAAATCTTACTATCATAGAGAAGACTGAATACTAGAATAATTGAGGAACCCAAGTAACCTCCTTGAATTTCTTATAAACAAAGCAATAATTTCAAAATTAAAAAAATTTCAATGATAAATATTTTGCTCCTCTGTTCTTTTTTGTTTATCTTTCCTGCAACATGCCTTTGAATCTTAAAGACTATGAAATATCATGGACAGAAAAAATTAAAATCAAGATTGCCCATGTCAAATTTTTACCTAATATGTGTTTCACTTTATAGAACAGTATTTTATATATGAGGAAATAACCCAAAAGCACATATCATTTGCCAATTTGAATATCTCATGTTCTGTTGAAACAATGGCTTCCTGAAAAGAGTTGATTGGATATGATAATTTAAGTAATACTTATTTTCATTAAACTTTTTGAGGTCATTACAGACTCACATGCAATAGTAAAAAATAATACAGAGTGATATTATGTACTATTTGCTTGGTTTTCCCCAACATTAACATCTTGCAAAACTATATAGTGCAATTTCACAAATAGGATATTGACATCGGTACAGTCAAAATATAAAACATTTTCATCACCACATGGTACCTACTTGCTTTTTAATGACTATATCCACTTTACTCCTACCCCCCACCTCTATAACCCATGGCAACTACTAACCCATTCTCCATTTCTATAGTTTTTTTCATTTCAAGAAAGTATATAAATTGAATAATATGCTACATAACGTTTTGGGGTTGACTTTTTAAGTCTGCATAATTTTCTGTAGATTCATCCAGGCAGTTGCATATATGGATAATATGTATGTTTTTGATTGCTGAGGGATATTTCATGATAAGGATGTATTACAGTTTAACCATTCACACATCTGGATTGCTTCCCATTTGGGTTACTATGAAAAAAACTTCTATAAATATTTGAGTACAGGTTTTTGTTTATGCATTTTTATCTCTCTGGTATAAATGCCTAGGGATACAATTTATGTGTTATATGATAGTTACATGTTTGGTACTATAAGAAACTGCCAAACTATTTTCCAGAGTGGCTGTCCTATTCCACATTCCAATCAGCAATGTTGAGTCATCCTGCATTTTATATTATTGCTATTTAAAATTTTAGCTAATTTAATTGGTGTTTAGTGACAACTAATTGTGGTTTTAGTTTGCATTTCTCTGATGGTTCATGATTATGAACATCTTTTTATTTATTTGCATATGAAAAGTTTATCTTCTTTGGTGAAATGTCCCCTTATATATTTTGCCTATGTTTTAGTAGGAATTTTTGCTTTTATATTGAGATTTTGAATTCTTTATATATTCTAGATACTAGTCCTTTGTTCAATATGTGGCTTAAAAATGTTTTCTCCCAGTCTGTAACTTTCCCTTTTATTCTGTTTGCAAGATCCTTCATAGAGCAAATATTTTAATTTTTGATTAAGTTCAGTGTATTACTTTTTCCTTTACTGCATCCTACTTTTGGTGACAAGCTTAAGAAATTTCCAGCCCTAAATCCTGAAGATTTTGTTTAAAAAAAAGTTTTATAATTTTCTGATTTACATTTAAGTCTACAATTCAGCCGGACATGGTGGATCATGCCTGTAATCCCAGCACGTAGGGAGGCCAAGGCAGGAGGATTGCTTGAGCCCAGGAGTTTGAGACCAGCCTGGGCAACATGGCCAAACCCCATCCCTACAAAAAAATACAAAAATTAGATGGCATGGTTGTGTATCCCTGTAGTCCCAGCTAGGGAGGCTGGGGTGGGAGGATTGCTTGAGCACAGAAGGTCAAGGCTGCAGTAAGCCGTGAGTGTGCCAATGCACTCCAGCCTGGGTGACCAGAGCAAAACCATTTAAAAAAAATGTCTATGATCCATTTTGAGTTAATTTTGTACAAGGTGCAACACTTGGGTCAAGGTCTTTTTTTTTTCTTCCTTTGGCCTTTGGATGTCTGATCGCTCCAACCTTATCTTTCCTCCTTTCAGTTACTTTTGCACCTTTGTCACATGTGCCTACTGCGTATTTATGTAGGCCTATTTCTGGATTCCTTTGTGTTCCATTGATTCATATTCCATCCTTCAAATACTACACAGTTTTGACTACTGTAACTATATAATAAGTCTTGAAATCAGATATACTGATTCTTCCTACTTTGTTTTTATTTTTCAAAATTGTTTTAGCTATTCTACATCTTTTACATTTCCATATCAATTTTAGAATAATCTTGTCTCTAGCTAGAAAAAAACTTTCTGGAAATCAGATAAGTATTGCATGAACCCTGCATATCAGTTTGGAGAGAATTTATGTCTATATTATGTTGCGTATTCCCACTAGTGAACATAGTATGCCCTCTTGACCATTTATTTAGATCTTCTTCTACTTCCTTCATAAGAGTTATGTAATTTTTAGCACACAAGTCCTGTACTTACTTTCTTAGATTACACTAAATAGCTTTCTTTTTCTTTTTGGGTGATTGTAAGTGCTATTGTATTTTTTTATTTCACTGTCAGTGTTCATTACTAATATACAGAAATATAATTCATTTTATATGCATTTCTTCTATCTGGTAAACTTGCTTTATTTGGTTATTAGCTCTAATAATATTTTGGAAATTCCTTGCAGTTTTTTTTTGTTTTTTTTTGTTTTTGCTTTTTTTGTTTGTTTGTTTGTTTTTTGAGATAGAGTCTCATTCTGTCACCCAGGCTGCAGTGCAGTGGCATGACCTCGGCTCACTGCAACCTCTGCCTCCCAGGTTCAAGTGATTCTCATGTCTCAGCCTCCTGAGTAGCTGGGATTACAGTTGTGCACCTCCACAACCAGCTAATTTCTGTATTTTTAGTAGAGATGGGATTTTGCCATGTTGGCCAAGCTGGTCTCAAACTCCTGGCCTCATGTCAATCGCCCACCTCAGCCTCCCAAGGTGCTGGGATTACAGGCATGAGCCACTGCACCTGGGCACCTCCTTGGGATTTTCTACATAGACAGTCAAACTGAAGCCAACTGCAAAAAGGGATATGTTTAACTCTTCCTTTCCAATTAGGATGCTTTTTACTGTCTCTTATCTTATTGCACTGGCTAGAACTTTCAGCACTATTTTGAAAAAGAGTGGTGAGAGAAGACATCCTTGCCTTTTTCTTGGAAGTTGAAAAGAAGCATACAATTTTTCATCTTTAAGTAAAACGTTAGTGATAGTTTTTTTAATATATGTCCTTTATCAAATTGAGAAAGTTCCCTTCTATTTCTGTTTTTCTGAGTTTTTCTTATAAACAAATATTGAATTCATCTGTTGATATGGTAGATAAATTGATTTCCAAATATTGAAACAGTCTTGCATCCATGGAATATACTCCACTTGGTCATGGTGTGTAGTTCCTTTTATATAGTGATAAATTCTATTTGCTAATGATTTGTTAAGGATTTTAGCGTCTCTATTCAGAAAGAAAATTGGTCTATAGTTTCCTGTTCTTAATCTTTCTTTGATATTTATATTATAGTAAGACTAGTTTCATAAAGAGAACTGAAAATTGTTCTCTTATCTTCTATTTTCTGGAAAAGAATGTGTAGAATTGGTGCTAATTTAGCAAAATTCTCCATTGAAAGCATTCAGGCCTGAAGCATTCTCTTTGGGGTGTTTTAAATTACATATAATTTTCTGAATAATTATAGGACGATTCAAATTATCAATTTCATATTGGGTGAGTTGTGGTAGTTTGTGTATCTTGGGGAATTGATCCATTTTATCTGATTATCAAATGTATGTGTGTAAAATTGTTCCCTTATTATGCTTTTGATATTTGCAGCGACTGTAGTAATATCCTCTCTTTTTTACCTGATATTAGTGATTCATATCTTCTTTTTTTCTTGTTGTCTTGTGAAAAAATGTCTATTTTATTGATCTTTTCAAACACCAGCTCTTTGTTTTATTGATTTGCTCATTATTTCTTTGTTTCTCTGTTTAGAGTTTATTGATTTCTGCTCATGGCTTGATTATTTACTTCCCTCTGATTGATTTGGGTTTATTCTGCTCTTCTTTTTTCAAGTTCTTGTGATGAAAGTATGATTGATGTGAAAATTTTCTTCTTTTCTAATGTATGAATTTAGTTTTACAAATTTCCCTCTCAGCACTACTTTAGCTGTGGTGCACAATTTTTGATAGACTGTATTGTAATTTTCATTCCATTAAATATATTTTTTATTTCCCTTGAAACTTTCTCTTCGATTATGGATTATTTTTTGAAGTACTTTTTTTTCTTTCAAGTCATCCTTCTGTTATCAATTTCTAGTTTGATTCCATTTTGATTGAAGAACCCTATGATCTAAATTCTTTAAAATTTGTTGAGGCTTGTTTTTTGGCCCAGTGTCTCTTGCTACATACTCTGTGAGCATTTGAAAGGAATGGGTGGGTATTCTGATAATGTTGGTGGAGTAGTCTATAAATGTCAATTTGATATTGAGTAGTTGATGACGTTCTTGAGTTCTTCTCTATTGTTACTGATTTTTGTAAAGTTGTTATATCAATTCTTGAGATGGAGGTGTTGAAGGCTCCAACTGTAATTGTAAGTTTGTCTGCTTCTTTCCCTTCCAGCTGTTTTTATTTCACTCGTTTAGTGCTTTACTTTTACTTGTTTAGTGCATCATATTTAAGATTGCTCTGCCATCTTGGTAGATTGGCACTTTTATCATATATAATGTTCCTCTCTGTCTCTGGTACTATCTTATGCTCTAAAACCTGCTTCATTTGATATTGATAAAACTATTCTTGGTATCTGGTATCTACCCAAAGGAAAAGAAGTCATTATTTGAAAAAGATACTTGCACACTCATGTTTATAGCAGCACAATTCACAATTGCAAAATCATGGAACCAACCCAAATGCCCATCAATCAACGAGTGGATAAAGAAATCGTGATATTGATATTGATATATATATATATATATATATATATATATATATATATATATATCGGAAGCGGAGCTTGCAGTGAGCCGAGATCGCGCCACTGCACTCCAGCCTGGGCAACAGAGAGACTCCGTCTCAAAAATAAATAAATAAATAAAATGAAATAAAAATGAAAACATAATGCCAATTACATTATCACTCAAAAAATGATATACATTGGGAAGAATCTAAAAATATGTACAATATCTAAATGAAATAAATCAAAGATGAAATAAATCAAAGAACTATATACACATATATATATACACACACACACATATGTATACATATATACATATATACACATATATATATATACACATATGATGGAATACTACTCAGCCATAAAAAGGAATGAATTAACAGCATTTGCAGTGACCTGGATGAGACTGGAATGGAAAACTAAACATCATATGTTCTCACTGATATGCAAGAGCTAAGCTATGAGGCTGCAAAATCATAAAAAATGATATGGTTGACTTTGGGGAATTGAGGGGAAGAGTGGGAGGGCTGTGAGGATAAAATACTACATATATGGTGCAGTGTATACTGCTTGGGTGATGGGTGCACTAAAATCTCATAAAATCACCACTAAAGAACTTACTCATGTAACCAAATACGACTCACGGAAAAATAAAATAAAATAATAAACATTTAAAAAAAGAAGTGAATCAAAGAAGCAACAAGGGAAAGTAAAATAAAAACTTTTATTTTCCTTGTTTTGAATTGATCTAACCAATTTGTTCAAAATAATAATAGCAGCAATGTATTTACTTATGTGTGCTCATTTGTGTTTGTGTATATACACATATATGACTATGTACAAGTGAAATGAATGGCAGCAATTATGTAAGAGACAGAAGAGTGGAATTAGGATTATTTTTTTATTGTGAGGTACTTTTACTACACGTGAAGTGGTATAGTGTTTTTTGAAACTGTCCTTGTATTAGTTGTAAATGTATATGACAATCACTAGTATTGTGACTGATATCCTATGAATGGAGATAGAATGAAATCTTATAAAATGGTAAATTTAAACTGTAAAAGGCAGGAAAAGAGTAAGCAACAAAAAATAAAACAAATAGCAAAGACAATGAATAGAAAACTGACATATATGATAGATACTAATCCACCTACAAATAATCACTTTAAAAGTTAATGTTCTACATGGACACAGGAAGGGGAACATCACACACTGGGGCCTGTTGTCAGGTGGGGGGAGAGGGGAGGGATAGCATTTGGAGATATACCTAATGTTAAATGACGAGTTACTGGGTGCAGCACACCAACATGGCATATGTATACATATGTAACTAACCTGCACGTTGTACACAGGTACTGTAAAAAAGTATAATAATAAAAAAAAGTTAATGTTCTAAATCGACCAATTAAAATAGAAAGATTGTCAAAATAAATCAAAACCAAGATTCAACCATATATAATCTACAAAGAACCCACATTAAGAATACAAACAAATACAGGTTAAAAGTAAATGGATGGAGACAGCCATATCATGCTAACACTAATTGAAGGATTAATATGCTACAGGTTCTAACGATAAATTCTAAAAAGAAAAAAAAATACAGCTAATAAACAAAAAGAAATACTAAACCTTGCATATGACCTGATCATCTATGTAGAAATCCAAAAGAATCAACGAAAAATGTCCTTGAACTAATAAACAACTATAGCAAGGTTGCAGGATGCAAGGTTAATATAAAAAATAAGGCCTGGCACGGAGGCTCACACCTGTAATCCCAGCACTTTGGGAGGCCGAGGCGGGCGGATCACGAGGTCAGGAGATCAGACCATCCTGGCTAACACGGTGAAACTCTGTCTCTACTAAAAATACAAAAATTAGCCAGGCGTGGTGGCGGGTGCCTGTAGTCTCAGCTACTCTGGAGGCTGAGGCAGGAGAATGCCATGAACTTGGGAGGTGGAGCTTGCAGTGAGCCGAGATCGTGCCACTGCACTCCAGCCTGGGCGACAGAGTGAGACTCCGTCTCAAAAATAAATAAATAAATAAATAAAATAAAATAAAAATGAAAACATAACTCCAATTACATTATCACTGAAAAAATGATATACATTGGGAAGAATCTAAAAATATGTACAATATCTAAATGGAATAAATCAAAGATGAAATAAATCAAAGAAGAACTATATAAATGAAGAGATTTGAAGAGATACTACATTTTCATGGATAGAAATATTCAACATTGTCAAGATATCAGTTCTTCCCATTTTGATCTACAGATCCTTTTCAATCTCAATAAAAATTTCAGCAAGTTATTTGGTGGATATCGACAAACTGATTCTAAAGTTTACATGAAGAGGCTAAAGACTCAGAATAGCTAACACATCACTGAAGCTGGTGGACAAACTATTGTAAGTCCAAACTTACAACACAGCTTCAATAATCAAGACAGTGTGATATTGGTGAAAAATAGATGAATAGATAAATGGAACAGAACAGATAACCCAAAACTGACCCATGTAAATATAGTCAACTTTGGGAGGCTGCAGCAGGCGGATCACGAGGTTAGGAGATCCAAACCATCCTGGCTAACACGGTGAAACCCCGTCTCTACTAAAAATACAAAAAAAAAAAAAAAAAAAAATAGCCGGGCGTGGTGGTGGGTGCCTGTAGTCCCAGCTACTCGGGAGGCTAAGGCAGGAAAATGGCGTGAACCCAGGAGGCGGAGCTTGCAGTGAGCCGAGATTGCGCCACTGCACTCCAGCCTGGGCGATGGAGGGAGACTCTGTCTCAAAAAAATATATATATATATATATGTATATATATATGTATGTATGTGTGTGTATATATGTATGTATATATAGGTATGTGTATATATATGTATGTGTGTATATATATGTATGTGTGTATATATATATATAGTCAACTGATCTTTGACAAAGAAGTAAAGATGGTAGAGTGGAGCAAAGACAGCCTTTTCAACAAATAGTGCTGGAACAACTAGACAGTCACATGCAAAAAGAAAAAAAGAATTTAGACATAGACCTTACACCCTTCACAAAGGTAACACCAAATGAATTATAGGCACCTAAGTGTAAAATGAAAAAGTATAAGTCTCTTAAAGAATAACATAGGAGAAAACCTAGATGATCTTAGGTATAACAATTTTTTAGACAGGATGCCAAATCACAATCTATGAAACAAAGAATTGACAAGCTACACTTCATTAAATTTAGAAACTTCTGCTTTGTAAAAGATGCTGTCAAGAGAATTAGAAGACAAGACACAGACTGGGAGAAAAATAGCTTCAAAAGACATACCAGATAAATGACACTTAAACAAAATATACAAAGAACGTTTAAAGCCCAGTAATCAGAAAACTAATGACCCTGATGTAAAAATGGACAAAGGACGCAAACAAACACCTCACCAAATAAGATATACAAATGGAAAATAACCATATGAACAGGTGCTCAAAATCATGTCGTTAGAGAATTTCAAATTAAAACATCAATTGGATGTCATTACACACCTATTAGAATAGTCAAAACACTGACTATACCAAATGTTGGTATGGATGGGGAGCAACAGGAACTTTCATTCATTGCTGGTGGGAATGGTACAGCCACTATAGAAAATAATTTGGCAGTTTCTTACAAAACTAAACATACCCTTATCATATGATCCAGCAATTGCACTCCTTGGTATTCATCCAAATGAGTTAAAAACTATATCTGCCCAAATACTTGCACATGAATATTTATAGCAGTTTTATTTATTCATATAATTGCCAAAAATTGGAAGCAACCAACATGTCCTTCTGCAAATGAATGGATAAACAAACCTTGGTACATTCAGACAATAGAATATGATTCAGCACTAACTAGAAGTGAACTACGAAGCCATAAAAAGACATGGAGGAAACATAAATGCATATTACTAAGTGAAAGAAGCCAGCCTAAAAAGGCTATATATTGTATAATTCCAACTGCATGAAATCCTGCAAAAGTCAAAACTATGGAGACAGTGAAAGAATCAGCCAGGAGCTGGGTGGAGGAGGCAGGGATCATTTCATAGAGCAGAGAAGATCTTTAGCTCAGTGAAACTACTCTGTATAATACTATAATGGGGAACGTAAGCCATTATACATTGGTCAAAACTCATAAAATATAAAACACTAAGAGTGAACCCTAATGTAAACAATGGACTTTGGGTGATAATGATATATCAGTATAGGTTCATCTAGTATAACAAATGTACCACTTGGATGTGGAATTTTTGTAGTGGGAGAGCCTGTGCATGTGTGGGAGTAGGGGGTATATGGGAAATCTTTCTACTTTCTGCTCAATTTTGCTGTGAACCTAAAATGTCTCTAAAAAAAAAAAGTCAAATTTAAAAACAAAGAAACAGGCAACTTAGACTAAGATGACCTCTTCAGGAAACAATTCAACCCTTAAAAAAAATAAAGTTCCACTGGATGAGACAAATGTGGTTAGGTGTGTATCTCATGTCTTTCAGCTGGCCCCCCAAATCCTCATCCAATTTGGGCTTGCTGATGCTGGGTGGGAAATGAATTTTACGTTGACTGTATGGCTGGATATTATGACTTGAAGTCCAAGTTTCCATGAGCTATCATGGAAGGGTTAGCCTGCTGAACTGAATGATTCAGTTAATCCTAAACCTCACATGAAGCATTAATTGCAGCCACCTCTGCCTCTCCCAAGTGTTTTGCCAAAACTAATAACAAATCAAAAGGATTCTGCTGCTTTCCTGGTGAGGTACTAGGGAACCTGGATATCAATGACCATAATTTCTGAAGGTCTGCTTATGTCCAGCTTCTAAGAGAGATGCAATAACAACTAACATTTGTTGGACAATTCATATGTGTCAGATATTGAGCTAAGTAGTTTACCCCATTATATAATTCCCTAGCAACACTGTGAACTTCATATTAATATTCCTATTTTACAGATGAAGAAACTGAAGTTCAGAGTACTTGCATATTTTTCGCCAGGTTACACTGTCTGATATTAGTGGTTTCTAATTTCAAAACCCATACTCCAGATATGATGCACTGAGACGGACTTGGCATCTTTTCTGTGGTCTGGCCAGGAATGCACAGTCTGAATCTGGTTAGGAGGAAGTGGCATGCCTGAATCAAGGGCACTTGGCAAGGTTACCATTCTGTGCTCTCCAGAGATGCTGAGGACATGAGAGGCCAGGAAGGGCCTGAAAGAGTTTCAGATGAATTGTCACCAGAAAGACATGATAGTGTAAGATCTTGAATTGGATCCTGGGCCAGAAAAATAGCACTGGGGACAATTGGCAAGACCTGAAGAGATCTGTAGATTAGATGATATTACTGTACACATGTTCATTTCCCAGCTTCCCAGCTTTTTTTTTTTTTTTTATAGACAGAATCTCTGTCACCCAGCCTGGAGTGCAGTGGCACAATCTCAGCTCACTGCAACCTCCGCCTCCCAGGGTCAAGCAATTCTCCTGCCTCAGCCTCCCAAGTAGCTGGGATTACAGGCATCTGCCACGATGCCTGGCTAAGTTTCGTATTTTTCGTAGAGACGGGGTTTCACCATGTTGGCCAGGCTGGTATCGAACTCCTGACCACAAGTGATCCGTCAGCCTCAGCCTCCCAATGTGCTGGGATTACAGGCATGAGCCACCAGGCCCAGCCCATTTCCCAGCTTTTGATAATTGTACTGTAGTTGAATAAGACAATGTTCTTGTTTTTAGGAAACATACATGGAAGAGTTTAGAAATAAGAGAAAATCATGTTATAAGTTATTCTCAAATATTTCAGGAAATAAACCCATCTATAAACACACACACATACACACATATAAGGGCATTTCCTCTATTGCCCCTGTCTTTGAAAGATCTTAAAACAAAGGGAGCAACACCAATTTAGTCTCCAAGTTACAGTTCTTTTTTTTTTAATTTACTTTTTTCAACAATTATTTTAGGTTCAGGGGGACACATGTGCAGGTTGGCTACATGAGTAAATTGCATGTTGCCAAGGTTTGGTGTATGAATGATCTTGTCACTCAGTAGTGAGCATGGTACCTGATAGGTAGTTTTTCAATCTTTCCCCTGCCCCACCCTCCCCCAACTCAAGTAATCCTGACTATGTATTGTTCCCATCTTTGTGTCTATGTATATTCAATGTTTAGCTCCCACTTATAAGTGAGAACATGCGGTATTTGGGTTTCTGTTGCTGTGTTAATTCTCTTAGGATAATGGCCTCCAGCTGCATCCATGTTGCTGCAAAAGACATGATCTTGCCTAAATGTACCAAATAAGAAATGCAGAATTAGGAAAGTCATTCTAAAAGCAAGAGAAATGATCCACTTTGCATAATTTTGTTTAATATTTATTCTGTGTCTTCCCAGTATTATATTAGAAACCTAAAAAGATCCAAATTCAGAACTCCTACTCCTAAGGGATATACATAGTATTTCAATTTTAATTGAATATGCGCTGAATTACAGGGGATGAGTCTATAAATCTCAAATTGAATTACCTTGTTGTAAAAGACTAAAATAAGAAAATAGCAAAAAAATCTAACTTGGCCAACTTTTTCATAAGTAAATATTTTAAAACTAAAGTTTTAAACTTTAGTTTAATTTAAAGTTGATTAAATCCTTAACACTTTACTAATGAATGCTTACAGTGTTGTCATTAAGGCCAATTATTTGAGACAACTGACATAGGACAACAAGCACCATCATATTCAAGCTAGGACCATCCAATGTGCCACAGCCTCCTCTAATATATATTAGAAGCCCAGATATATGAAACTTGATGGAAACTTATTGAATAAACAAAGGTTGAAACAGATGCAATCTCATCAGGGCATCAAAACAGGCATGAGTTTTAATGTTTCTGATCATGGAAAGTCAACTTGCATTCATTGCATTCCAGTACCAGACAATTCTTATTTTCAGCCCCTTGAAGTCATCCTCGGGTAAATAATGTGGGACAATGCATTTTCCAATATTACTTCATAGGTCAAGCTTAATTACGCAGAAACAACTTTCTCGAACAGCACCAGTCCCCCAACACTTAGCTCCACAGCTGTCTGGTGACAGGATGACTACATGGCCTTGGTATAACTCGTTACCCAAGACAATACTACATTCATTTTGATCCTGAATGAAAGACCTCCATTCCAGGTGCAAATGTTGCCACTACTATCTTATAGAATGGAATATAAAACAATTCTATTTTAAATATTTCTGCTGTTTCTGCAATCCCTTTTCTTGATTCAGCAGGCATGACTGGACTGAGGTTTCATCAATCATCTGTCAGCAGGACTGTGAGAATGTGGCTAGCAAGGCTGCTTGCAAAGGAGACCATTAAGAAATCACTCCAGCAGGTCTAGTTTTTCTATCTTTATGTAAGTAATATTTGCCATCACCTGGCATTTCAGATTAAAAGTGTTATGTGACTCCCCTGGTGCTGGAAGGAGGTTTGGAAGCAACTGTGTAGATCCTGTTAGTCATGTGTTTCTATGGTTATTTATAAATATTATGGCCAACCTTAGTCAATATATGATGATTACAAATTATTATTTTTTTAATTGCCAGGAGCTGTTTTCTTCCAGAGGTCATTTAGAAAGGCTTTCATGTTCATTTGACTCTGATGAATGTAACTTACCAGACAGAAAATATTAACAAGGCCAAGATTTTGGCAGTTAGGTTAAGATTCAGACCCAGGCTTACTGTGAAGAGTGAGAATAGAATGAATAAGAGCAAAAAGGAAGTCTTTTTTGACTATGTCTTGAACGGTGTACTTATTTACAAGCATGAGAACAGTAACTCTCAAAAGAAAAATCACCTATATTGTGGACCCAGGGTTGTCTGCTGTAACATAACTTTTCTAGGTTACACAAAACAGTAGAATTAGGAGGTTTCTTGTATTCTTACAGACTACATCATTGACAAAGACCACTATAGAAGCTCAATAAAGAATTATATTGAATAAAATGCTAACATTTTGAATGGGAAGGAAATTCAGAAAGGTTTGCTGAGAAACTCAGCTGATGCTTTATGTAAAATGTGCAGATTTAGCTTTGGACCACTGGCCAGCCTCAAGTTAGCTCAAGGCCTTAGAATAAACACATCTTGGAGCTTGAAGGCTGCTAAGTGAAGAGCTAAGTGTTGGAGAAAAAGACTTAGGAACCAAGCTTGTTTGCACCATAAACATAAGACAGAGAAAATTAATTCAGTCAAACTTGAACAATAGCAGTGAAAAGCCTCCCATATATTTTCTGCATCTATTTTTTAAAATATCCCTCTTATTGCTAAATGAAACAGATGCAACCACA